>NC_000010.11:15616060-15767575 GCF_000001405.40 Homo sapiens
ACTGTTTTCAATACTTGCCTTTGGAGGCTACCAACTCTTGGAATGTTCTATTCCCTAACTTAGTGTCCAGTTTGATTATGGAAGCCAGGATAAATAGTAACATTCTTCTACCCTGCACCGCTTCTTTACAAGTGAACATTTCAATGCATTTCCAAAGCAAAGAGAATAAATCAAATTCAGTAACGTCTAAAAAGTGGGTCATTTTATAAGATCTGCTTCATTTCATATCTTATTTAATGTTATGTTCATAAAATCTGGAAGTTTGGTCATGCAGTATGAGAGTAAAAATGCAAAGGAAAGAAAGAGTGAGAGCAAAAAATACCTCTAGACTTTAAAAAGAGCATCTAAATATTCCCCAGAATAAATCGTTGGAATGCTCTCTTTAAGGCAGAACTAACAAGAAAATGTATTTGAAACAATGAGAAAAACATTTGAATACTACCAACCACATACCTGTAAACAGCGACTTTTCCTGTTCCAAATGCACCCACAATCAAATCTTAAAAAGACAAAAACACAGAACACATGCGTGAATCGTATAGAAACAATTTACTAAGTTCAAAATCGTAAGTAGCACATAGAATACCCCTACATGCTGATGGTACGAGAGCCACAAAATTAGAAGAGAAATCACACCTTTCTTAAGGCATTTTGGAAAGGATGTTGGAGCTTCACTATAACCAACTTAATAAAACGTCCATCAGTGGATCTCAAACCCTTCTGTGCTTAGGAAGGTCAATTTCTAGAAACTCATCATCGCATCACTTTTCCTATCCTTCAGGTTCAAGGCATATACACCCAGGGAAGGAAAAGGGGAAAGTCAGCTGCTTAGTGTCTGCTAGGTACCAGGCTCATTACACATTTCGTGTTATCACTCTCACCAGTGAATACCCTATGAGGAAGGGTATTAACCCAGAAGTGGAACGTTCTGATTGTCATTTTGACACAACCGTTTGCTCTTTACAAATAGTATGGGTGGTGAGTATACTTTTGGCAAAGCAATCAGTAGTATATAAAATAACTAACATATTATAATGATCTGAAATGACAACAGCAATCCTAATAAATAGCACATGGAACAGCACTATATGCCAGGAGGCCTTTTAAAGGATTTCCTTTGAATGATTCCTAACAAGAAGGTAGGAGGTCTTTATTATTAGCACAATTTTGCAAATGAGTCAATTGAGACTTAAGAAGGCTAAACTGTAAATTTCCTAACATTCACACAAGTAGGTAAGTGGTGGAACTGGTTGACTGCAGTGGAGCAATCCTGGACTAGGTAAGGGGGAATGGTCACAATTATTTAGGTGATTGGCTAACATAGAGGTCAAACTGTCTGTTTTTTTTTTTTCTTTTTTGACAGAGTCTCGCTCCATCGCCTAGGCTGGAGTGCCGTGGTGCAATCTCGGCTCACTGAAACCTCCATCTTCAGGGTTCAAGTGATTCTCCTGCCTCAGCCTCCCAAGTAGCTGGGACTACAGGCACCTGCCACAACGCCTGGCTGATTTTTTGTATTTTTTGGTAGAGACGGGGTTTCACTGTGTTAACCAGGATGGTGTCGATCTCCTGACCTCATGATCCACCCGCCTCGGCCTCCCAAAGTGCTGGGATTACAGGCATGAGCCACTGCACCTGGCGGGCTTTTCTTAATCTCATTTACAGTGGCTGTCCCTAGTAGAAGCAATCAAACACAAATAAAAATGACAATGGCTAAATCTGCAGAGTAAAATTTAGATGTAAGAAAACTGGACCTCCATGGAACCAACCTAAGTGTCCATCAACAGTGGATTGGATAAAGAACATGTCGTATATAAACACCATGGAATATTATGTAGCCATAAAAATGAATGAAATCATGTCTTTTGCAGCAACATGGATGGAACTAGATGCCATTATCCTAAGTGAACTCAGAAACAGAAAATCAAATATTGCATGTTCTCACTTATAAGTGGGAGCTAAAACAATGAGTACACATAGATGTAAAGATGGTAATGATAGCCACTGGGGACTCCAAAATTGGGGAAGGAGGGAGGGAGATAAAGGTTGAAGAATTACTCACGGAGTCCAGTGTTCAATATCTGAGTGATGAGTATGCTAGAAGCCTAAACCCCTTTATGCAATATACTCATGTGACAAACATACACACGTATCCCCTGAATCTAAAATAAATTTAAAAAAAGAAAAAGAAAACTGGACTTGGTAGAAATAAGGGCCACAGAAGAAGACTTACAACAGTTGAAACTATAATTGGTTAATTCTAGCACAACGCGAATGAAAATAGAAAAACAAAAAACAAAGGTGGAGGGAGGTCCTATTTGGCCACTCCATATGGAAAACTAAGTCAGGAATTAAATTGGTGTAATAGAATTTGTACAGAAAAATGATTTACAGCCATATTCCCTTTGGCACTCACCTTTTGCACATGTGATGTTGAGTGTCAACTTGATCAGACTGAAGGATGCAAAGTATTGTTCATGGGTGTGTCTGTGAGGGTGTTGCCAAAGGAGATTAACATTTGGGTCAGTGGACTGGGAAAGGCCGACCCACCCTGAATCTGGTGGGCACCATCTGATCACCTGTCAGCACGGCCAAAATAAAAGCAGGCAGAGGAACGACAAAAGACTAGATTGGTTCAGTCTTTTGGACTCCATCTTTCTCCCATGCTGGATGCTTCCTGCCCTCGAACATCAGACTCCAAGTTCTTCAGCTTTGGGACTCGGACTGGCTTCCTAGCTCCTCAGCTTGCAGACAGCCTATTGTGGGACCTCACCTTGTCATCGTGTGAGTCAATACTCCTTAATAAATTCCCCTTTATATGTTCAGCAATCCTATTAGTTCTGTCCCTCTAGAGAACCCTGACTGATACACTGTACATGTGAACAGAGAGAGACTGCAGATGATTCTCCCCTTGAGGGCTTAGTGTCCCTGAGAATGGCTTTTAGTCAGTTACAGGTAGGAATTAGAAAGTGAGTGGCCCAGCTTCCTTATCAGTCAAGTGGGATAGCTGAGGTTTGTTCTTTGACTTTGCTTTCCTCAGCCAGGTGGGGCCCTGATTGCCCGTAGTGGCAACTGGCTTGATGATGATCTTTATTGCATTCTTCTTTTCCATGTCTCTCTTCTCTACCTTTACCAGTATTTCTCAGGATTTCTTAAATGCACTGCTTGTTTTCTCATCTTTGTCTTAATGCCTGCTCTGGGACAACCCAACCTAAGACACAATAATACTTGTTAAAATTTAAAAAAAAATGATCTGAAAGTTCTCCAGGTCAAAACCACTGTCAGATGTCTTAGGTTTTATGGACACAGAATCAGATTCAGTTATTAGACTTGGAACTTGACTCCAGAGCTCCATATTTAAAAACATGTGCATGCTGATGTTCAAATAAGTCGAACAGACGTCATCTAAAGAGCTCCATATTCATGGCATTAAAGAACACATTAAGCAAAGGGCTACACCTTGGCCACCTAGGACTCATGGAATAAAACATTCTTTTGTAAGGGTTTAAATCTCTGAAGCCAGATGCCGAAGTTTCTAAGTTTACCAGTTTTTAAAATTATAATGATAAATTCTATCAGAATTTCAATTTTTCAACTATGTTTACATGTATTCTTTCTGTTACATTGTCTCTTCTAACAGATTGGTACTTTTTTTTTCTAAATCAGAGAAAAAAAGAGCTACCGATTTGAAGAAACATGAGCTCTGTTCTTCCTGTGTAATTACAAACTCCAATATTTAGACAAGTGTAACACAGGTGGCCCTGGCCTGAATCCATATCTGTTGACATGACACCAGATAGGAGAGCTCTGTTATGAAAACTGATTCACGATGAATTATGTGCTTTGTTCTTGGCCCCAAATAAGGTGAAATATTTATTTAATAAGATTAGACATTTTATAAATAACAGGCGAATTTTAAGAATTGATTCTCTGGAAATGGCAAAGAAAATAAGACTGTAAGCCCTTCCAGGGCAGGAATCTTTACGTTTGCACATCCCCAAATATTCATGGAATGGTATGGGTTGAAATAAATGAAGAAAGAAATAACCTTTGCATGCATGTTACCAGGCACAGTGCCAGATGCAGAACAGAGACTTCATAAATGCCTGATTAAATAGGGAGCATAAGTAATAATGTAATAATAAACTAAAGATACTAGAGATGAAGAAAATGAAACAATTAAAACCGACTAATGTCAACTGCAGCTAAATTCTGCTGGAGTTTTGCATGTATACTTGAAGGTGTTGAGATACACACACACACACACACACACACACGTTCCAGATTCTAGAAAGTAATATAAAGTCTCCATCACAACTAGATTGTCATTATACGTGAGAATTTGAGGGACACCCTCCCAACGGTAATGAGACATGGGCTTTTCCTTTAGGAACTTTAATTTCTGTGCCTTCGGGTGGGAATTTTTTCTACTCTGGAAAAATAAAATAACTGGCAACACAGGCCACAATTTTCTTCATGAGAATGTGGTCACGGTTATTCAGAGGCAAAGAAAACAGTTACCTACCACAAAAGTATGTTTGCCTTTAGAGACACTACCTTGGGAATATGCCTGCTAGAAAGAGCCAGAAGTACTTATGCTCGGGACCTTAAAATTGTCAGATCTCTCCAGGGGAGGAGAACTGATTTGCTGGTTTGTGTTTTGAATGAATTTCTCTTTTCAAAATATGTGGTTGGCTTTGGAAAGTACTACGCTGCTTCCATCTATACACACATAAGTATAGAAGTTTGTGTATGCAGCGTATCTGTTATATATCTGTTCTATTTATATACACATACATTTATATTTATGCTGGAGTGTGTATATTTATGTGTGCATGTGAAATGATATTTAAATAATACTCAGAAATAATATTTTAAGATATTGCATAATTCTGTGCTTAGGAATTTAAATGTTAATCTAGAGACAAAGTAGTTTCAGGGCTGATATTTGAATTTATAACACTTGGAACATTTTTTTCTCCCTTACTTTGAGATAACGGGTCTGATACCATTATCTATGTTTACTTCCTTTCTATAAATGCCTTAAGGGCAAATTGAAAACAAACAAATAAAAAACTTTGCCTTTCTCTATACATAGACACTTAAGCTGGCTTTTTTTTTTTTTCCTGGAGGAAATAACTGACAATTAAAATTGGGTCTTTCCTTTCAATCAAAAACTGTTCCCAAACTGCTGGAGGCCTTTGCTATTGCCTCACGTTGCCTGAGAAACATAGTTTATTTTCTTTTTGGCTTTTGATGGAACAACTGAGTACTTTTAAGGAAACAAAAAGGGGACATTGGCATGAATGCAGGATCAGTTGGCAAGAAAAAAAAACCCTAAAAATGTGAGGTCATAGGAGATGCATTACACCTATGTTTTGTATTTTATTTCTTGCAAATCGTTATTTTTAAATGAGGAAGAAAAGCCAAACCTTTAAAGTGGTGCTTGGTTTGCAGAGTCTGATTTCACTAATTTGGGAAAGAAATTTTAGTGTTGGAAGAAGTTCTATTTGAAAACATCAGCTTTGTTTTGAGTGTGGATCTGAGGTTTGGATTAGGTGGGCAGGAAACAGTGAAGGGAGGGAGAGTGAACCCCTCCTAGGGAACGGTCAGGCCAAAGGGGAAGATGAGGAAGAGCTGACAGTATCAGATTAAAGAATCAGTCAGGCATGGTGGTATAAAACCTGTAGTCCCAGCTACTTCAGAGGCTGAAGTAGGAGGCTCGCTTGAGCCCAGGAGTTTGAGATTGCAGTGAGCTATGATGGTGCCACTGCACTCCAGCCTGTGAAACATAGTGAGACCCCATTAAAAAAACAACAGCTGGGCACGGTGGCTCATGCCTGTAATCCCAGCAATTTGGGAGGCCAAGGCAGACAGATCCCCTGAGGTCAGGAGTTCGAGACCAGCCTGGCCAATGTGGTGAAAACCCGTCTCTACTGAAAATACAGAAATTAGCCAGGCATGATGGTGCATGCCTGTAATCCCAGGTACTTGGGAGGTGGAGGCAGGAGAATCACTTGAACCCGGGAGGTGGAGGTTGCAGTCAGCGAGATCATGCCACTGTATTGCAGCCTGGGCGACAGAGCAAGACTCCATCTCAAACAAAACAAAACAAAACAAAAAACAAAAAAGAATCACCCAGAATCATTTCAGGGGAGCAGTCTCTGTGGCCACCCAAGCACCTATACTTCCTAAGCTAAGTCACCTTCCTCCTGCTTCCTTCTTCCCACTTCTCACTCTCATCTCCTTGACAGATACACTGATGTTTATATCTGTTCCCAAAAATGCCATTGGACATCTTCTTTTTTTTGGAATTAAAAAACATTTACTATTTTAGAATAATTCCAGACAATGAGAATGGCCACCAGGAATTTCCAAACAAATGTGAAACATGGTAGTGTCTATCTTATAGTTGTATAAAAACATTATGATTAATCAAAAGGGAAGACCTCCTTAAACATGACCAAAAATGTAGAAATCACAAAGGAATTTCAAAATCTAGACGACTTTTATAGCAAACAAAACAAAACAAAACAAAACAAAACAAAAAAAAAACCACATGAGCAAGGCTGAAAGAGAAACAAAAGCAACAGGGTGAAATGTTTATAATGTATATGCCTGATTAAATGTTAATATTTTTCAATGTTTAGAGGAATGTTTGGCACTTGGTAAAAAAAAAAGTTAACATTGATTATTATGCCTAATCATACAAATTAGTATTAAAACTATAAACATTCTTAAAAAGATTACAAACAGCCATTTCACATAAAAATAAATATCTGTGACTAATAAATATATGAAAAGACTTCAACCTTACTAGTCATCAAAGAAATCCAAATGAAGGGAACATAGATATATCATTTTTTAACCTTGTGAATTGGAAAAGATTAGTACTAGGTGGTGTTGGATAGAGAGCAGAGGTATGCTTATAGGCTGTTTGAGGGAGTATAAATTAGCATTATTTTCATGGAAGGCAGTTTGTTGATATGTATGACTATGTGTACCGCTGACCTAGTTTCTACTTCTAGGAATTTATCCTGAGGATATGTTGGACAGTTGTGTAAAGATAGATCAAAGAAAAGCTAATATTCTAAACATTTTAAATATAATTGCCTCCTTTAAGTGCTACAACAATCCTATGAGAAAGATACTTTTATTATCCCCATCTTAGAATGAGAAAAATGAGGTACAGAGCCCGAATACAGTAAAGTCACAAGACCAAAGTTTAAACCCAGGCAGTCTGGCTCCTGAACCCACACTGGGCTCCTTTTTACACTGCCTTCTAGGTGCACAACTACATGCTGTTTTTATTCTCTCCTTAAGCCTTTAAAAAAAATTAAAGATATGGCCAGGCATAGTAGCTCACGCCTGTAATCCCAGCACTTTGAAAGGCTGAGGTGGGTGGATCACTTGAGGTCAGGAGTTCAAGACCTGCCTGACCAACAGTGCAAAACCCCATCTCTACAAAAAATACAAAAATTAGCCTGGTGTGGTGGCAGTTGCCTTTAATCCCAGCTACTCAGGAGGCTGAGGCAGGGGAATCGCTTGAACCCAGGAGATGGAGGTTGCAGTGAGCCGAGACTGCAGCACTGCACTCCAGCCAGGGTGGCAGAGTGAGACTCCATCTCAATAAATAAATAGATATAAAAATAAATAAATAAAGATACATTTTATTATGATAAATTTCATCCTTTTTAGTAAGCAGAGCTAAGAGCTTTGATAAATGCACCCAGACCTGTAACCACTTCCACAACAAGACAGAGAACAGTCCCATCATGCCCAAATGTCACCCATGCTGTTTTGTAGCCAAGCCTGACCTGTCTCCTAACCCCTGGACTCCACTAATCTATTTTCCAGAACGTCATATAAATGGAGCCATACAGCCTTTTGGGTCTAGCTTCTTGCACTCAGCTCGGTGCATTTGAGATTCATCCACAATGTTGTGTGTTCCAGGAGTTCATTTTTTTACTGCTGAGTAGTATTCCACTGTGTAGATGGCCCACAGTTTATTCATCCATCCCTGGCTTAGGGAACCCTGAGGTTTTTCCAGTTTTTGCAAAGTCACTGTCAACATCGGTGTACAGCAGTTTGTGCATCAACAGGCCAATTTTGACTTGCCCGTTGTCTCTCTTTGAATCTCTCTAAAACCTTTGAAGACTTCTTTGAAACACGGTGTTGTATGTCAGGTGCAAAATTACCAAGTGGCAGCTGAAAAATCAGCAATTCTCAACTCCAGTTCACTTTGCTACTGGCTTCTAAATGACATTGAACAAGTCAATCTTCATTGCTGAATCTCTGGTGGTCTTTAAGTTTCTCTAGATGAGAAGGGCAAGAGCTCAGTAGCATTTGTTGGAGTCTGATGACTGCATTCTGGGCACTTTGATGTACAATCCAGGACTCTGCTTTGCTTTTGGACTCAGCTGTGTTCCTGCAGATTTAGGGACTCCTTGTGCCTCCACTGAGAGACAGCCAGTTTCTGGCTTTCTCCCTGGCTTCACCAGACTGGACTTCTTCCCATTCGCCTTCATAACTCAGCTCTACAGACGCCTGACTCCTGTCTTGGCAATACAACTGCCCACAGCTCACAGAATCTCCTCCAGGAACTGCCCATCACTGCCCAGGTCCCATCCTGCCAATCCTCTTCCCACAGCACCCAAATATTTTAAAGACGAACTAAGGCCATCAAGTATAGTTGTTTAGATAAACCAACCCAAGGTTGGCTCACTTTCATACAATGATGATATTAAGAGAAATAAGAGAATTCGAGATAATGTGTCCAATGGTGGGGTTACAGATGGCGGATACATCTGGCAATGTCCACTTGTGAGTGGGCTATGAAATTGGCTTAAGTGTCTGGCATTGCAAACACAGCTCATGTCTGTGGGAATCCAGCATTTAGATAAGTCTCCTTGACTTTGGCAAACGTGTTAATCTAAAAATAGAAGTTGCCTGTCTGCCTTGCTTTTTTATTGCAACATGCAAAATATTACTGAGAGGAAGGTTATGAGTTGAGGAAGAAATGTTTGAAAAAAAAAAAGCATGATTTTATCCCAGAAAGTAATAATCCTAACAATCTGTCTGAAATGCTTCCAAATGAACTCTGAAGAAAAACATTTATGAGTTGGAACATGGTATTAGGTTGCAACATTCTAATTTACTGGGGGATTGTTTTCCTTTTAAAACAATCCCACAAAAAATAACAGCAGAATATCAAATGATGAGTCTGCCTTATGAAAATAGTTTTCTGTATATTATTAGCATCCTGTGGCTACAAGAATGATCCTTCCACCTTCAACTGTTTGATCCTAAACTTGTTGTATTTCGTGTCACCGTATCAAAGGCATTTAACTTTATCCTCTTCATGGGCCACACTGAATCACATGTGTGCCGTCTGTGCAATTGCTGAAAGCCCTGGAGGAAGGTTTATTTCTACAGTACCAGTGTCACTTGTATGTAGCTGCCTATTGGAAAGTGTTTCACAGTCTCCAGAAGAGCGTGATAGCTCACAAAGATGCTTCCCTGACACCTAGCCTGACAGATAAACTCCTATTGATAAAAACCTAATGGGACTTGATGATTTCGCTAAGTGTTTTAGGCAGAATTGTGTCCCCCCAAAAAAGTCCTATGTTGAAGTCCTAACTGCCAGCACCTCAGAATGTGACTGTATTAGCCTGCACCTCAGAATGTGACTATATTAGGAGATAGTGATATAGGAGTTAAGAAGAAATTATTTAGGCAGATATGAGGGTACGGGAGTCCTCAGTAAGGTTTTCCTTTTAATGAAAAGCAGCCCCCAAATCATTTTCTTTTCTAGCAAAGAGCAGCCTATAAAATCGAGCTGCAGACATAGACAAGCAAGCTGGAAGATTGCATGGGTGAATGCTGGCATCTGTGCCAATAAGAAAAGGCTACCTGGGACTAGCCATGTTCAAAATGGTGGCTCCATCTTTGCCAGCCAGGTATACAGGAAGAAACAGGCAACATGGCACCTGCCAGGCAAAAACTCCATTTGCATGATAAGATTAGGGTGGGGCAGCCAGCTTCCTTGCATGTTGTATAAATGTCACACCTGGTCCAACCAATCTTTGGGCCCTATGTAAATCAGACACTGCCTCCTCAAACCTGTCTATAAAATCCAGTGCACTCTGGAGAGAGAGATGTTCTTTCTTTTCTTTTCTTTTCTTTCTCTTTTTTGGAGACAGTCTCACTCTATTGCCCAGGCTGGAGTGCAATGGCTCACTGCAACCTCTCCTCCCGGGTTCAAGCAATTCTCCTGCCTTAGCCTCCTGAGCAGCTGGGATTATAGGCACTCACCACCATGCCTGGCTAATTTTTGTGTTTTCAGTAGACACAGGGTTTCACCATTTTGGCCAGGCTTGTCTCGAACTCCTGATCTCGTAATCCTCCCACCTTGGCCTCCCAAAGTGCTGGGATTACAGACATGAGCCACTGCACCCGGCCTCCTTTCTCTTTCTTTTGCCAATCAAATCGCTGCTCCTAAACCCAGTTCTTGTGTATATCTGCACCCTCGATTCCCTTGTCGTGAAACAATGAACCTCAGGTATTTACCCCAGACAAAAACACTGCTTCAGTAGGGTCTTTAAAGAGGTAATTAGTTTAAAATGAGATCATCTGGGTGGGCCCTAATCCAATAGGACCAGTGTCCTTATAAGAAGAGGAAGCTAAGACACAGACATATGCACAGAGAGAAGTCAACATGAAGATGTAGGGAGAAGATGACCATCTACAAGCCAAAGAGAGAGGCTTAGAGGAAACCAACCCTGCTGACGCCTTGATCTTGGACTTGCAGCCTAGAGAACTGGTAGGAAATGTATCCCTGTTTGAGCCCTCCAGTCTGTGATGTGTGATGGCAGCCTTGCGATTGACGGAGTTGCAAGGGAGATGGGAGAGGAAGGGAAGAACAGGTACACAGGTGGTTCCCTATACTGGACACCCTCATCTAAGAACTCATTATTGAACTTCCAGCATGAGCCAGGTCCCACCCTAACTGCCCAGGATTCAGCAGGGGGCTTTAAAAACAGACACTCCCCTGCCTTCCAGCTACTTAGAGTCTATCAATCAACTCACTGAGGGGTCATATTACAAACACAGGCCAGGATCCACTGAATTGAAGTCCCTGGGTGGGACCTACTTTCACTGGATCACTCACATTCTGATAAGATCCTTCTCTTTCACATGTTTGAGAAGAGGAAAGAGTGTAAGTTTCTGCAATTAGTATGCAGCAGCCCTCAGGCACAGAAAAGAGAGGTAACAGGATGAGAGGGGCTGAGCATCCCCCAGACAAGCTTCACCTGCTTCACTCTTTAGTCTGTGGTCTGGTTGGACCGCCAGCTTTCTGGCTTACGCTGGCTATCTCGTGAACTTCTCTTAGGGTTGATAGTTTTCAGGTAACCAGCTATTAATGTAATTGCAGGAAAACGTCAGTAAGAAAATCTAAAAGGGTTGGCATATAGAAAGAAGAGCATCACATGAACAATGCTTGCAAACAGGAAGGACAAAAGAGATGAAAGAGGCCTTTGTTGCTGTATTAGTTATTTTGAAAACCTCCCATCTGTCATCCCAGAAGAGGTTTGAGACAGAGATTCCCCAAGTCAACATCTGATGGCACAGGCCTGGGTCTGGGGTGCAGAACCTGGACCCTCAGCCTTGGAGGTTGTTTTTATGCCTCCTACTGTCAGAGGCATTTGAACCAGAGCAACTCCATCTTGAATAGGGGCTGGGTAAAATAAGGCTGAGATCCACTGGGCTGCATTCCCAGGTTAGTCATTCTGAGTCACAGGATGAGATGGGAGGTCAGCACAAGATACAGGTCACAAAGACCTTGCTGATAAAACAGGATGCAGTAAAGAAGTCGGTCAAAACCACCAAAACCGAGATGGTGACGGGAGTGACCTCTGGTCCTGCTCACTGCTCATTATATGCTAATTATAATGAATGCATTAGCATACTAAAAGACACTCTCACCAGCCCTATGACAGTTTGCAAATGCCATGACAACGTAAGAAAATTACCCTATATGGTCTACAAACGGGAGGAACCCTCAGTTCTCGGAATTACCCACTCCTTTCGCAGAAAACTTACGAATAATCCACCCCTTGTTTAGCATATAATCAAGAAGTTAACAGTAAGTATAAGCAGCTGAGCGGCCCATATGCTGCCGCTCTGCCTATGGCAGCCATTCTTTATTATCTTACTTTCTTAATAAACTTCCTTTCACTTTATGGATTCACCTCTAATTTATTTTGGTTTTTTTTTTTTTTTTTTTTTTTTTTTGAGATGGAGTCTCGCTCTGTCTAGCAGGCTGGAATGCAGTGGCCGATCTCTGCTCACTGCAAGCTCCGCCTCCTGGGTTCACGCCATTCTCCTGCCTCAGCCTCCCGAGTAGCTGGGACTACAGGCGCCCACCACCACGCCTGGCTAATTTTTTATATTTTTAGTAGAGACAGGGTTTCACCTCGTCAGCCAGGATGGTCTTGATCTCCTGACCTCATGATCTGCTCGCCTTGGCCTCCCAAAGTGCTGGGATTACAGGTGTGAGCCACCGCGCCCGGCCAGATTCACCTCTACTTCTTGCATAAGATCCAAGAACCCTCTCTTGGGGTCTGGATCAGGACCCCTTTCCAGTAACACTACCTCCGTTTGGCCAGTGGTGTTTAAAAATAAGAACAATTGATGTGCTCAAGGTGATGGATATCCTTAATACCTTGACTTGCTCATGACACATTTGTTGTGTGTATCAAAATATCTCATGTACCCCATAACTACAAATATTATGTATCAAAAAATTTAAAAATTAAAAAGGAACAATTAACTGTGCGAGTACTTTACAGCATGCAAATTGTCTCTACAACAATCCTGAGTGGTGGGCATTGGTCTGATCACCTTTCTTTTGTGGCTGGATAGGCTAAGGTTAAGGAGCTGCAAGTGCGGCCCAGGCTGCAGAGCTGGTAACAAAAGAGAATTTAGGTACCCCTACTCACGGCGCTTTTTCCATCACACTGCCTACTCGTACTCCTGGTCTCACAGCCAAGAGCAGCTGGCATCTGAAGGCCCAGTGAGAAAGGAAATTAAATCTTGGGACCCCAAACTCATTAAGCCAAAGGGAGAAGTCTAGCTAGGAACTGGGTCACACAAACCTGCCTCTCCGTTTTTGGTTCCTGAACGAGATGAAAAGTTACATGCCTCCCCCATATTTTGCCCACAAGGAAATTCCTAGTGAGCTGCAAGATCTTCACTCTAGGGGGTTTCTGTTAATATTTCACCACGGCAATGTAAATTGATAGCATATCTTTATAAGTGCAGTCACCCCCACTGCCCATTTCATCTATGTCACCCCCTCTGCCCCATTTCATCTATGTTATCTTATATGAAAGGCAGGCTCCCTGCATTTTTCCTCTGCCCCACTTGTCTATGTCATCTTATGTAAAAGAAAAATGCAGATTCACTGAGCCAGACAAAGGCAGGCATGATTATTTTTCCCTACCCTCCTCTTAAATGAAAATTGTGTATTTCTCAATATTCTGCCCTTTCCCCTTTAAATTTGGAGCCCTTAAAATTGTCTTCAGAGGCTGGGCATGGTGGCTCATGCCTGGAATCCCAGCACTATGGGAGGCCAAGGCAGGTGGATCACTTGAGGTCAGGAGTTTGAGATCAACCTGGCCAACATGGCAAAACCCCATCTCTACTAAAAATATAAAAATTAGTTGGGTGTGCTGGCATGCACCTATAATCCCAGCTACTTGGGAGGCTGAGGAAGAGAGAATCTCTTGAACCCGGGAAGCAGAGGTTGCAGTGAGCCAAGATTGTGCCACTGCACCCCAGTCTTGGTGACAGAGCAAGACTTAAACAAACAACAATAAAAAACAAAACAAATAAACAAAAAAACAAGTTTGGAGAAAGGCACAGACCTGTCTCCAGGAATGCATCCTTAAGTTTGGCAAATAAACCTCTTAAAATAATTGAGACTTGTCATTTTTCTCGATTGACACTGGTGAAGGCAGAACTAGGGTCAAGGGTTAAACGCTAGCCAAGAATCAGTCTGCTACTTTGAGTAACAGGAGACAGATGCCAACATTTATTTTAAAGGGCATCATCATCATCTCTACTTATATTTCCATTCTCATTCTGCACAAACATAAAATAGTTGACTGGATTTTAAGTAGAGTTGAAACACAGTGGCAAGTTAAAGATATGAGCAACAATTTATATACAAGGTGTGCAGCTGGAAGGATGCTGGTTTATTTATTCATTTATTCATATTCATTCATTCAATTATTCACTTAACAAATATCGACAAGTTGCCTTTTGTGCCAGCCGCTGCCTTGGGCATTAGGATTTCGCAGTGAGTAACGCCAAATCCACTCCCAGTCTCAACTAATACAGTGTCCAGTTTAGTGGAGCAGAAAGGACATTTATCAAAGAATTGCACACATGTGTAATTTCCATCTGAGATCATTGTTTTCAGGGGAAGGACAACAGTTCAGGGAAGGCTTCCTGAGGAAGTGACATTTGACTGAGTGTCTAAGTGGGAAATGAACTCCTGGGAAAATGGCCAGGGCACAGAGAGACTCTGAGGCAGAAGGGATGCATCAGGTGAATGACCTGAAAATATGGCTTCCGATTTACATATTAGTAAATTCAAAGTGACATATTAAAAAACATGCAGAGGGAGGGAAGAAATAATATGAGGTTCTAAACACAGGAGAAATTGACTCCAACTAATTCATACTCCATTCCTTATATCCTATTTTTTAAAAAAAGCCTGACTTTTTAATGATCACCATTCTAACTGGCAACAGATGGTATCTCATTATGGTATTGAATGGCATTTCTCTAATGATCTGTGATGCTGAGCTTTTTTTCATACGTTTGTTGGCTGCATAAATGTCTTCTTTTGAGAAGTGTCTGTTCATATCCTTCATGCACTTTTTGATGGGGTTGTTTGTTTTTTCCTTGTAAATTTATTTAAGTTCCTTATAGATTCTGGATATTATGCTGGAGAGGATGTGGAGAAATAGGAATGCTTTTACACTGTTGGTGGGAGTGTAAATTAGTTCAACCATTGTGGAAGACAGTGTGGCGATTCCTCAAGGATCTAGAACCAGAAATACCATTTGAGCCAGCAATCCTTTTACTGGGTACATACCCAAAGGATTATAAATCATTCTACTATAAAGACACATGCACACATATGTTTATTGCAGCACTATTCACAATAGCAAAGACTTGGAACCAACCCAAAAGCCTATCAATGATAGACTGGATAAAGAAAATGTGACGCATATACACCATGGAATACCATGCAGCCATAAAAAAGGATGAGTTCATGTCCTTTGCGGGGACATGGATGAAGCTGGAAGTCATCATTCCTAGCAAACTAACACAGGAACAGAAAACCAAACACCACATGTTCTCACTCAAAAGTGGGAGTTGAACAATGAGAACACATGGACACAGAGACAGGAACATCACATACCGGGTCCTGTTGAGGGGTGGGAGGCTAGGGAAGGGATAGCATTAGGAGAAATACTTAATGTAGATGACGGGTTGATGGGTGCAGCAAATCACCATGGCACGGGCATGCCTATGTAATAAACCTGCATGTTCTGCACATGTATCCCAGAACTTAAAGTATATTAAGAAAAAAAAAAAAAAGCCATGGCCAAGAGGACTCTATGGCACAATTGATAGCACATTGGACTTCTAGCCCCACCCCCCCCAAAAAAAGCCATGGCTAAGCAGCAAATTTCTATTAACTGTATCTTTATAAGCAAGATCAAGTATAAATAATATCCTATCATATACACTGGGTTTCAGAAAGAACCCAGTCTCTGATTATTTGGAAGGAAGTTAGTTCAAACTTAAACTGACAAATGATTTGTGGCATAGAAAATCTAATAGCCATATAGTTAGATCTCTTGTATCTGGCGAGGGAAATTTGCTGTATTTACTACCTATGAGTGGGATATGATTTAAACCTGCTTTGGGACAGAATCTGGATTCTGAAGGCTATATTATTTGTGAAATAATAAGGATTTATTACTTGTGAAAGGCTTTATCTGAGAACCTGATTCAAGCATGGGGAGGGATGGAGTTCAGGTGTGTGAGGGAGTCCTGGCTTCACATTTAAGGTCATTGACATAGCTGTGTCGATAAGGTCCACTTTTTCAATAGGATTGCCTCTTCAAAGGGGAGTCAGAAATAAGGCAGATGGAGGTACTCAGAGGTTTTCACAACACACTAAGCAAAATAGAAATATTTGTTTGAGAGAGATGACAGTTCCTACATTTTCATATCTTAATCTAAAGCTGGAAAAAAGTCAGATATTATGTTATCGGACTTGAAAATGACTATAGCTAATCTTTGTTTTGGTCTTTTCATAAATGCAGCTGTGAGTGTAGACAACAGTCATTCTCAACCTGGATCTGTGAATTTCTGAAAATAGTAATTCCCTCTTGGAAAGACATCCCACAAACAGGAGATTAGTGTATTTGTAAGTGACTGGGCAGAAGCAGGTCGGTATTTCAGGTTCATTCAGTGATACAGATAGCAATTGTAGCACTCTTATCACACCAAGGTCACTACAGCTTGAAATCAATCATGGTGAGGATATTTATACCATGGAAATTGGTAAGTGGTACAAATCTGGGCTTTTTTTTTTCTCCCTGAGGAGCTGGTTGTTAACCAATTTTTAACACACCTCTGAATATAAAGGCCTATTTCAAGGTTAACGATATATAGACAGTGGGATCTCTTGAGACGTGTGCACAGCAGCTCCCAGGCTGTCTTATGAAGGATGGGAGGCTGGACAGTCACTGCTGGTCCTCATTCTTTAGGCTTTTAATCTCCAGACACCTCCAGCTGCCCTGGCCTTGCTGCTACATCACGTGGTTCATCTCATTATCCTCCCCTGGGATACTTTAATGACTTTTGATTTCATGTTTCTTTTTCATTATTACTCATTCTGCTCATTGCTAAGGAATGAGGTCCTTAAAGCACCACTTTGGAATACAGAGCATATATCTTTTTCCATTACTTTCCTAATAACTAATTGCTAAACATGCTATTCAAGGCTCTTTGTTAACTGTCCCCAGTCCACCTTTCATTTTTACCTCTCTCCATGTATGCTTCCATCATTTTGGACCAATTCACTTCCAAAATTGCCTTTTTGAAAAAACTAGGAAGCATTTCCTTTAACTTATATATAGAATTTCCTTTTTAGCATGATCAAAAAAATAAAGAAGGTATGGTTAAAAAATTCTGCAGTACATACTAACAAAGACAAACTAGGCAACATTTTCATTACATAAAACTGAAACAGTCAACATTAATTATTTTATGCCAAATTCCTTTTATTTTTATTTATTTTTTTGAGATGAATTCTTGCTCTGTCACCCAGGCTGGAGCGCAGCAGCACACAATCTCAGCTCACTGCAACCTCCGCCTCTCAGGTTCAAGCAAGTTCCCAAGTAGCTGGGATGACAGGTGCGCACCTCCACACCTGGCTAATTTTTGTATTTTTAGTAGAGACAGGGTTTTACCATGTTGGCCAGAGGGGTCTTGAGCTCCTGATCTCAGGTGATCTGCCCACCTCAGCCTTCCAAAGTGCTGAGATTACAGGCACGAGCCACCATGCCCAGCCACCAAATTCCTTTTAAATTCTACCTATATTACATAGTCCTAGAAATCTGTGGATCCCTTTTCCCCCCCTCACTCATATATCACTAAGTCAAATCATTAATTCACAATGTTGTATCCCTTGATAATACAAAGGGTTGTCAAAAGTAGGAAATTATCTGGGTCAGATGATGACCAAAAGACGTTGAATACATATGGCCTTCGGCAGTTTTCTCATCTAGTCCTTCTGTTCCCTGATTCAATGCTCCCTGTTCTGCGAAGTCTTGCTTTTTATGACTGTGGCAAGAACACACTTGACACATGTAATCTCAGGGTCTTTGCTCATGCTGTGTTCCCCTTCTGAGATGCTTTCTCCCTACAACCACTCACAGTCATACCTATCTCAGGATCCTACTTATCTCCCTTAGGAAACTTTCTCTTATCACCTTAGCAAGAAACACTCTCTCTTTTTAACTGTTTCATTATTTTGTACCCTCTTAAAGCTCTTCTCATCTGCTGCTTATATTACAGTTCATTGTTGGATGTTTTATCTCCACAATTACATTGCTCCTTAAAGGCATGCGTTATGCCCATATAGTAACAATATGTCATTTATAACTAATATTTAGTGGCTGCTACTAGATGCTATTCACACCATTAACTGATTTATACATATTATCTAGCTGAACCTCCAAAACCCAACTTTAAAGGAAAAAGCTATTATTAGGTATTATTATACATGTTTTACCACTGAGAAAACTGAGACTCCAGAAAGTTGATTAACTGGGTAAGGTTACACATCCAGCCAGTGTTAGAGCTAGAATTTGATTTAATTCGGGCCCGTGAGAGCAGGATCTTTGTTTAATTCAGTGCTGTATCCTCAACATCTAGCATAGTGCCAGGCACATGGAAGTCACTCAACACATACTTGCTGGGTATATGGATAACAATCTCTTGAATATCATATAATCAGCACATATTCTACCGTCAGCATCATCAGTCACAGATTGGAAGAGAGTAAGGAAATATAACTAAATGCAACATGGGATCCCAGATTGAATCATGGGACTAGAAATAAGAACTGTAGAGGGACAAATGGTGAAATTCGATAGAATTTCGAATAGGTCCATTGATTCATTAATAGCTCATTGTACTATGTTTACATAAGATGTTTATCATGAGGGGGAGCTGGGGGAAGAGTTTATAAGGGTCTACTATTTTTTTGCAACTTTTCTGTGAGTCCAAAAGTATTTCCAAGAAAACATTGAGAAAAAATAATTTCACTAAATATTTTTTCTTTCTTTCTTTCTTTTTTTTTTTTTTTTTTTTTGGAGATGGAGTTTTGCTCTGTCACCAGGCTGGACTGCAGTGGTGCAATCTCGGTTCACTGTAACCTCCGCTTCCCAGGTTCAAGAGATTCTCCTGCCTCAGTCTCCTGAGTAGCTGGGACTACAGGCACGTGCTACCATGCCCAGCTAATTTTTGTATTTTTAGTAGAGACAGGGTTTCACCATGTTGGCCAGGATGGTCTTGATCTCTTGACTTCATGATCTGCCCGCCTCAACCTCCAAAAGTGCTGGGATTATAGGCATAAGCCACTGCGCCCGGCCTTCACTAAATCTTTTTAAAGATAGATCCTTAATAATCTACCCAATATTACAGAGCACTGTGTAAAGGCAGGAAATCTAGATCTGGGATGATAGTATCAGAGAAGTGTAGAATTAAAAAGACCCTGGGAGGAGTAATCCATGCACCTTTGTCACTTCTTGATAAGGAAGGCAAGACCCAGAGAGGTGGAATTACTAAAATCACACGTGGGAGAACTGGTTCTAGAACTCAGGCCTTTTCACTTTCCACTCATTTTCATTTCTACTTGACAACACTCCTCAATTGAAGTCCAAGAGCTCTCCCAGTTGAATTACTTCAATTTGATCTACATGCATGAGATATTTTTACCCAAAATTTAATATTCTAATTTCTAATGTGTTTATCATGAAACTATGAATATCTTAGTCAATAAAAACATAATGCTTGGCTTTTCACACAAAACTTGAGTAGCAGTTTGAGAAGTAAAAATAAACTTTGACTATAATGTTTGAACCTAGTTCAACTGAACTTCAAATTAACAATTTCAAGGAGCTTAAAGTTTAATTGAAATGCAGTATTCCCTTTGGATAAAGCCTCCTTCCATGCGCAGGTTCTGTGTTACTTGTTTGCTTATACTACACACACACACACACACACACACACACACACACACACAGAGCACTCATTGAAAAGATAATGGGTTATTTTATTTCATTGAGTGTAATTGTCTGAAATGGCTTCATGATATAATTATATAGTAGGGGCCCGGATGAGACAATGATAGTCTTGGCCTTCTGCCCATGTTTTCCTCCAGTTTTTCTTGCCTGTAGGATTTCTGCCCCTCAACAAAATCTGTACCGCCCCTCCTCCACCTTCCAATGCCTGAGCTATGCATTTAACAGATGGTATTGTTATACAATCACGTTTAATGGGATTAGAGGAGATCACTGGATTTCAAGATTCCTGACTATCACGGCTGTTTCTCCTCTAAAATGCTTTCACTCAATTAATGTATGCAAGACACTCCTCTGGTCAATCCTACTTTCCCAATGAACCCCAACATACAGACCTGAACACATCTACATTTTGAATCAGAAAATGAATTTTGATGCTAGAAATGAAAGTACTTATGACTCTATGTAGTGTGTGTGCCAGTGACAATATTTGTTGTAAAAAGCCTAAAAACGTATTGGGTGGTTGAGGTGGATGTTAGGAAAATTATTCCACACATTATTTCTGCAATCAAATCTGTATATTATATAACAAAATCCCCCAATCTGTCCATGAGACTATCCTTTTCTTGGGTACACTGCATTCAAATCTGAGTCATCTTTTACACCCACCTCTTCCTTACCTCCTGCCACCTCCTCTCCCTTCCATCACTGCTAGTTGTTACCAAGCCTTGTCTATTTTTCATTTACACTGTTGTGTTAGTTCCTTCCTTTCAATTTCCACTGTCATTACCATACTTCAGGCCAAATTTAAATGAATTTAAATATTTTTAAATGGCTAAGGGGCAGCGAGGGAGCAGCGTGTTCCTTTTCTGGTAACCAGTAAGGCACAATAGTGAAAAATGAAAGAGGTCGGCCACGGTGGCTCACACCTGTAATACCAGCACTTTGGAAGGTCAAGGCGGGTGGATCACTTGAGGTCAGCAGTTCGAGACCAGCCTGGCCAACATGGTGAAACCCCATCTCTATGAAAAATACAAAAATTAGCTGGGCGTGGTGGCACACGCCCATAATCCCAGTTACTTGGGAGTCTGAGGCAGGAGAATCCCTTGAACCTGGGCGGCGGAGTTTGCAGTGATCCGAGATTGTGACGCTGCACTCCAACCTGGGCGATAGAGTGAGACTCTGTCTCTAAATCAGATTTTAAACAGAGGCTGTCCCTCTCCAGCATCCTAGAATGCAGTTTTTCAAAATCTTATGTGGCTCCACATGACTGTCAGGTGAAGTAGCTCATATTCTGTTCATGATCAGCAAATTGGTTTCCTTTTCTATTCTGAGCCATTTGACAGCATTTTGTAAAAATCCTCTCCCGCCCTAGAAAGTGCAGGCACACACAACCCAGTGAAGTAGGTATTATCAGCCCCATCATACCAGATAAAGAAATAAAAGCTGAAAGTAAATCACTGTTCAATTGTTACATTAATAGTATTCAATGGGAATCTGAACTCAGGTAATCCGATTTTCCTTCCCCTGTTCTCACAGACTCTTTAAATTTTTTTTTTTTTTTTTTGTTTTTGAGACAGGGTCTCACTCCTGTTGTCCAGGCTGGAGTGCAGTGGTGAGATCTTAGCTCACTATAGCCTAGACTTCCCAGGCTCAGATGATTCTCCCACTTCAGACTCCCAAGTAGCTGGAACTGCAGGCATACTGCAGCATGCCTGGCCAATTTTTTGTATTTTTAGTAGAGAAAGAGGTTTGCACATTTCCTAGGTTGGTTTCAAACTCCTGCCCTGGCCTGCCAAAGTATTGGGATTACAGGCATGAGCTACCGTGCCCATCGGCTAACTTTAAAAGTTTTTTTTTTTTTAAATTGGCTTGATGTTTTCCAAAAAGAAGTGAGGTGTCATCCAATCCTACCCTATAAACTCTGTGTACATACATATATAGTACATATAAAAAATACATACATAGATGTTTGAGTATATATATCTGTGAATGAGAGAGATTCCACGATAATATTCTACAATAAGCACTGTATTTACCTTCTATGCAGTGGCTGGCATGCTTTGGGCTCTTAATTATTAGCACTAATAATTAGTATAATTGAAAAAACATTACCAACATAACAGACTCTATGCCTGCACTTTGCTAACATTCCTTCCTCCAAAGACTAAAAAACTAGTCCTGATTATATACAAAACATCTGTAGCATGCAGAACAGATCGTTTGACAATGAATAAATATAAACCAAACCACCTCTTATATGTCTGTGTTTTCGGTTATTTGAGGTGCCGTGTTAATTTATTTTGAGTCAGTTTGGAAGATGAAACAGCTATAATGCACAAAAAGTACACATAAAACATCACAATCAGCCCTCCTCTGTCTGTGAAAGGCAGCCAGGTTGTGTTAAGAATACGTAAGAGTGTTTGCTACTATCTATGATTGGGGCAATGTGTATGCCCTGCCATTATTAAAGGTAGATTTCTTAATAGGCTGCACAGAAAAGGGTTTACATCAGACAGTGAAAACCAGGGGAAGCCAACACTGCCCACTCTTTTAGACAGAGCTGCTAAGCATTTTGTCACCTGAAATGAGGAGAAAGCGTTTATCTCAAGAATGGGAAAACCAACCCCATCATAACCCCATCAGAAAGCATTGCTGTTGATAAGTGTGGCTTCTCAGGGGTGTTCCATTCCCTAATCATGCCAAGTAGTTTGACTTGTTTCCATTTAGCATTTTAAATGTTTGTTTTTGCATTTGTTTTCTCATAAATTCTGCAGGTAACCAGGTAAAGTGACAAATTTTGGAATTTTGTTTCTGATCTACTTAGAATGGAGAATTTGAAACAGGGCAGCTGAACGCCTGTATGTCTGTGAGTAAATTTTAAAAGGATCCTGGGCACAGTGGCTCATGTCTGTAATCCCAACTTCTTGGGAGCCTGAGGCGGGAGGATCGCTTGAGGCCAGGAGTTTGAAACCAGCCTGGGCAACATAGTGAGACCCTGTCTCTACAAAAAAAATCAAAAAATTAGCCAGGTATGGTGGCCTGCTCCTGTGGTCCCAGCCACTTAGGAGGCTGAGGTAAGAGGATCGCTAGAGCCCAGGAGTTTGAGGCTGCAGTGAGCTATGATTTGTGCCACTGCACTCCAGCCTGGGTGACAGCACAAGTTCCTATCTCTTAAAAAAAAAAAAAAGTTGCCCCTGCCCCTTCCTGAGTGGGATGTGCCCAAGCATCACCATGGCAGGAACCACACAGAGGCAATGTTGGAGAGAACAGCGGCTGGTGGGTTTGACACCCTTGTAAAGAATAAATGAAATGCTAGGGCTTAGCAAACCAGTTCTTGGCAAAAGAGAAAAGGCGCATCTGACTCCTGTAGACCTGGAAGTGAGCCGCCAAGAATCTAGGGTGGTTTTGCTCAAAGTGGGGTGCTGCGTAAAGGCACAGATCTCTCATCCCCATCTCAGAGTCAGTCATCACAGTATCTGAAGGGGTGCTGTGCATTCAGCTTTATTAACAAGCCCTACAGATAACATGCATGCACACTGAGTCTCAGAGCCTCAGTGGAAAAGCTCAGCACTCTACAGCTCATTGCATGGTGTGGTGTGAAGGCCAGCAGTAAGGGCCGCACCTTAAGTGAGGAATCTCACCCCACCCGCTTGATCTCTGCATCAGGATCTGCAATTGATAAACACACCCAGGTGATCTGTTTGCACAGTCAGCAGGGAAACACTGCTCTAGAGGACTCATTCCCAAAGTACTGCACACCAGAATCACCAGGGTCACTTAAACATGTCACTATAGTCTGTGCTCCAGCCCAGAGTGGCTAATTTAATTGGTTTGGAGGGTGGCCTGAACATTCGGATTTTTTAAAGCTTTCCACGTGATTTTAATATGCAACCAAGGTTGCGAACCCCTGTTTATAAAGGATGATGAGATAGATTTCAGAGGGAGGAAGTCAATTTGTTGAATAGATTGTGAAGCTCAGAAGGCACAGTAATCTGTGTTGTGCAAACCCTTATCAACTCCATTGGGGATGGCAGCATGTTCAAGAGGCTGAAAAACAGCCAGCAAGTGAGACATGAGGTTTCATTGAGGACCTACGTACAGGGCAGAGAGTCCGGGGGTAGAGGGCTGGGCAAGAGAACTGCAACCGCTTGCAAAAGGCATGCAGTTTATAAAGCATCTTCACTTAGTACTCTCCCACTGACAACCTCCACCTGGCAACCTTCATTTAATCCAAAAACAAAGGGCCTCAATCCCCTCTACGGCCCGTGTTCCACGGGACCGACCTGGGTGTCAGGTCTTCCTCATAGACAAGGAATGGATCTCTGGGCTGGCCACTCCCAGATTCCGTAGCTCAGATTTCCCAGCCACATTGGGGTGTGTGTGCCACCCAGGGTCATTTTGGGGTATGCTGATGTTATCGCTCTCAGGTGTATTTACTTCATAATTTGAAAGGCAAAGTGCTTTTGATTTGAAAAAGCAGGACCCCAGAGTGAAAGAAATTGTTTATCTTTTTAAGTTCCAAAAAGCACTGGTTTGGAAAAATCACAAAACAAGTCATGGAGGCCTAGAACGTAGCATTTACTGACTGAACTATAGGGTTTAGAAAGCATGCCATCCAACTACCTTTAGGGGAAAGAGGGCTTTTGTTACTTCCCAGGCAAAACATCACAAGACTGCAGCTCAATCAGGGGCTGGAGCAATGAGATGCCTGGGTGGAAACTGGCAACAGCTAAGGAAAATCTAGGTAGATAAGCCTGAGGGCAATCACAGAAACCTGAATACCCAGCCTGTGCGTGTCTGAGTCCTAACAGTGGCTCAGAAGCATTTGCTAAAAGGGGACTGAAAGAGGCTAACAGAGGACGAAGAGGGCCCAGGACACAGGGAAATTTTGAGCAGAGGTCACTACACAGACAATGGAACGAGCCACAGAAGCTTGAGCAATGCCCCAAAGGCCACAAGGGACTGAGCTACCCTTTAGTCTGAAGCCAATAATAGCAGATGATGGGTGTGAGCCAGATATCTCTTCCCAGTCGCTGGACAACAGGTAAACCCCTTTCTATTTCATTCCTTGGGAGGGTAGCTACACAGGGTGGAGAAAAAGAGTCTTTTTTCTGAGATGGAGTCTCGCCCTGTTGCCCAGGCTGGAGTGCAGTGGCGCGATATCGGCTCACTGCAACCTCTGCCTCCTGGGTTCAAGCAGTTCTCCTGCCTCAGCTGCCTGCGTAGCTGGGACTACAGGTGCATGCTACCACGGCTGGCTGAGGGGTCTTGAATCTGAATAAATACTTACCTAAATAAGACTAAATCTAAACATAGAAGTGATTGCAAGATCATCATTTTCTACCATGGTGGAAATGGAGGCTTTGAAAGCTAAATGGAATTCATTTCTAGAAAAATGAAGAAAGTTACATGTCTGATTCCTGAATTTGGCCTGCAGCTTTCAATCAACTGTAATAAGAGAATCTAGTCGCCTGCCTCTAAGGCAGTTTCTTCTCTGTAGGTCCTGGGATCTTGCTATGAAGTTAAAAAGGCTTCTTTGAATGGCATTCTTTTTGCTAGAGGATGAGGATCAGGGAAAAATGTTATAGAATCATGAATCACAAGATATCCATATTCCTATTTGAGAGACAGAATTGGCGCCAGAACCCAGGTCTACCAAGATGCATGGATGAACTCTGAAAGCCTCAAGACTCTTGAGGGATAAATTCAACCAAGCAGCATTGACGGGCCTGCCTTAGTAAAGAACATTTACTTCAGAGACAAGACGCACAGCACTGACATGTCTGATTATTATAATTTGCATCAGACTCAGCAAAGTTGTTGACTAGCACATGGCCTCAAGTGAATATTTCTGATTAAGGGAAGAAAAAGACATAATTAAGAGGTAATCGGCTGATGTGGTGGCTCACACCTGTAATCCCACCACTTTGGGAGGCTGAGGTGGGCAGATCACGAGGTCAAGAGATTGAGACCATCTTGGCCAACATGGTAAAACCCCATCTCTACTAAAACTACAAAAATGAGCTGAGTGTGGTGGCACACGCCTGTAGTCCCAGCTACTTGGGAGGCTGAGGCAGGAGGACCGCTTGAACCCAGGAGGTGGAAGTTGCAGTGGGCTGAGATCGTGCCACTGCACTCCAGCCTGAGGGCAGAGTAAGACTCCGTCTCAGAAAAAAAAAGGAAAAGAAAAAAAGAGGTAATCAATTACTAACATTGCACAGACTTTAGCTTCCTTTTCCCTTCCTGCTGCTTTTAAATTTTTTCTCCCTGAAGGGAGTATTCCTGGGGAGAAAAGTTGACTCATGCCTCTGTCCTTCCTGGCTCTCATTTGGGACGTGTTTAGCCTTGGAAGGAAGTCAAAGGACTGGCTATGTGATGGATACATCCTCTATTTCCTTTGCCTCATCAAAGGCACAGCCTTTCTGTCAATTTTCCTGGTACTAAGGGTGGGAAGGAGACCTATGACTACCATAATAAATAGCAGTAACTTTCTAATTGTTTACCTAAAATGCAACCCAGGAGTTGAATTTCATTAATCACCCTGACATTTTTGGGGTAGGAATTACATAAGGGACCTAGATTTTTGAATTATTTTAAATTTGGATATATTATGTATACAAACCTCTCCCCAGTAATAACAACTAACCACCATTGATTAGCATAATGTAACCTAAGAAAATAAATTTAACTAGATGTTCTTGAAATTGCCACAGGTAGGAAGCATTAGTATACGATATAATACCAAATCCACTTTGAGCCCACTATGACGTCTCCATTAGTGTCATAAAAGGTTTATGGCAAATTTATAAGAATATGTTGCGGTATCCTTTTTGTCTAATCCCAGAGGAGAGAAGAAAGCCAAAGGCCTGAAATTAATGATGTATATTTAGGCAGTCAGCTTACTGGATGCTGCCCCAAACCAAAAAATAGCTCTACATATGGAAAATTCCCAATCAGGGGAGGGGCTAGTGGAAAGAGACAAGGTTTTTATAAGTAGTTGAAACTGTCATTTAACTATTAATGACTTCTAAGTATTTATTGAAACCATCTTAAACATAAAAGTGAAAATCAAACCCTAAAACCAAGAAGTCTGATGTTCTCTGCTAAAAAACCTGGACAGTGAAATAATCTTTTAAGACAAATCAATGTCTTCATATAGCATGCACAATACATAAATTACCTGTGCCTCATGGCTTTCCATGTGCCTTCAATGTGAATTAGGTAAATCAAGAATAGTTATGGTTCCTATCATGAACCAGTTCTTTTTTTCTCCACTTTAAAATGTTCAGTCTATCTTTGGAAAACCACAAAATATGGCTGGAAGAGATACATATATTTTTTGAGACAGTCTCACTCTGTCGCCCAGGTTAGAGCTCAGTGGCTCGATCTTGGCTCAGTGCAGCCTCCGCCTCCCGGGTTCAGGTGATTCTTGTGCCTCAGCCTCTAGAGTAACTGGGACTACAGGCATGCATCACCATGCCCAGCTAATTTTTGTATTATTAGTAGAGACGGGGTTTTACCATGTTGGCCAGGCTGGTCTCGAACTCCTGACCTCAACTGATCCACCCACCTCGGCCTCCTAAATACTGATGAGATTACAGGCATGAGCCACCATGATGGGCCAAGCTGGAAAATATTTATGCTTTAAAAACATGAGCTTCATGACAGACACGTTGAGGTTCATGCTATAATAGGAGCTATGAGCTCAAAAGGGTTAAAATAATTTGCGCCAGAAAGGATGCAAGCTGTCTATGTCAGTGCAAGCCGCGGTATTGAGGAGTTTCAAATGAAAACTTGGGTTGTGAAGTTGACAAGTTTTATGTACAATGCAGATTGTTAAGCCATTCTGCCTTTCTATCATTGTCTCTTGACAGGAGAAGGAAGCGTGTGTTTGTCTTTCTTCAAGTTCTCATGAAAGTCGCTCTGGAATCGTACATTAAAAAAGCCTGTGGCATGCTTAAGCTTCAGCCTCATCTGTAGAAGAAAACTGCCTTTGCATGATGCATTTTTCAGAAAATGGACTCTATTTCAGGACGTAGACTCTCACGTGGGAAAAGAAAGAAAACCTTACCTGGGTAATCATTCTTGTCTATGTCTGAATCTCCTCTTAAAGTAAAGCCAAATCCGGAAGGGACAGCATGTGAGGCCCACACTCCTTGCAGAACTTGGGAAGGCTTGGTGTTTAAGCCATCTTTGTTCCCATTATAAATGAGCACTTTGCCTCTTTGATCCTTGCCTGCAAAAGGCACTCCGATGGCAATGTCTAAAAACAGACATAAAACATGTTTTATGTGTATATGTATTTAATTCTTCATTTGTTCATTTTAGAGACAGGACCTTACTCTGTCACCCAAGCTGGAGTGCAGTGGTGGGATCATGGCTCACCGCAGCCCCACACTCCCGGACTCAAGTGATCCTCCTGCCTCAACTTCTCTAGGAGCTGGGACTACAGGTGCATACCACCATGTCAGGCTAATATATATATATATATATATATATATATATATATATATATATATATATATATATATATAGAATTTTTTTTTTTTTTTGAGCAATGGGTCCTTGCTTTGTTGCCCAGGATGGTCTGGAATTCCTGGCCTCAAGTGATCACCCCACCTCAGCCTCCCACACTGTTGGGATTAAAGGCATGAGCCACTGTGCTTGGCCATAGAGACGTTTCTTTTTTAAGTACAGAAGAATGGTTCAGAAATAGTTTAGTATACTCAAAAAGCAGTATCGAAACTCTAAAGGGCTTATAATGTTTTCCATGAAAATTCTGTAGTACTGCTGCAATGACAAATTATTTGTTGCCTTTTATCCATCCAACAAATATTTATTAAGAGCCTCCAGGGCCTGGCGCGGTGGCTCACACCTGTAATCCCAGCACTTTGGGAGGCCGAGGCGGGCGGATCATGAGGTCAGGAGATCGAGACCATCCTGGCTAACACAGTAAAACCCCATCTCTACTAAAAATACAAAAAATTAGCCTGGCGTAGTGGCGGGCGCCTGTAATCCCAGCTACTCGGGAGGCTGAGGCAGAGAATTGCTTGAACCTGGGAGGTGGAGGTTGTGGTGAGCAGTGAGTTGAGATCGTGCCACTGCACTCTAGCCTGGGTGACAGACTCTGTCTCAAAAAAAAAAAAAAAAAAAAAAAAAGATGATCTAAAAACTCAGATTTTTGTAGAAAATAAAGATATTGTCTTGTGTCAGGCGAAAAGGAACACTTTCGACACTTTCTTAACTTTCTCTAAGTCACTGCCTTGACTCCCATCCCCTTGTTTACTCTCAGTGAATTTCACATGATTTTACCTACTTTGTATACTCAAGGACACCAAAGCTCAGAGAAGCTAGGACCTCCCTTTATGTCATTTAGAATGCTTCTTTTATCTTTTAAAAATACTATTAAAGGTTTGAGAGAAAAGACAAATAGAAGAAAATATGATTTTAAACGACAGCTCCATAGATAATTTAGCACTATTTATTTTACTTGAGTGATCAGGAATAGAGCAGCTTTACAGAGTAGCAAGTCACTTAAAGGTAAGCTTGTCTTTTAAAAAATTTCCCTGGAACCATAAGCTTTTTACATGTACTTTGTTTTATGATACTTTAAAATTTACTAACCATATGTTGCTGAGAACTTTTTTTCAAAGAATGTGTAAGAGAACAGAAACATTGGCCAAATATACTAATGAATACTAATCTGATGTGAATACTTCCAAGGCTACTTTGTTACAGCAAGTTCCTGTTACTTCCTTGAGTTCAATCAAGAAATTCACTATGCTCGGTTCTTAACTAAAGAACCTGAAGTGCATTTAAGAAAATGCATACATTTTCAGGTCCTGAAAATGTATGCAAACTTTTGTGTGAAGGTGTGTGTTTTTCTGAGGAGAGGGTACTTGGAGGGGTTTCATAAATTCTAACCTAAAGAACTACAAGCCTAACCTACGAGTTTAACACTACTTTGTTGCAAATATTGAAACTAAGGTGAAGCCTACGTGCCAATTAAAATTCAGTATAACCTGTACATAACCCATGTAGGCTGATCAGAAGTCAGGATACTTGCTAATATATCAACATGTATTTATTTGTCTTGACATATAGAAGGTTTCCTAGTTACCTTTAAGTCACCAAATCCAAACATCAATTTTAAAAATAATTCCTGCCTCTACTGAGAGCTATTACAGGATAGCCAACATCAAATGTGAGAAAATTGCTTGGACGTCAGAGCAATGACGATTTTTGTATTAACTTTGGCTTTAAAGTTTTAATTCTTAAAACTGAATAAGAAATATTTCTGCAAGTAAACAGCACTTATAAGTAGAGAAGTTTAAAGTTGAACATTTGAGATGTTATTTTGAAGTTTGCAGAAACCTAAATGTACTTATTTTTATTGTAACCTGGAGTGCCTGTGGCCTTCCAATGTCTCTTAAAATTCATTTAGAGGTTTTCAAAATGTAGTAACACCCTCAAACCATTACCTGGAGCTCTGAAGACTGAGCTCTGAGGTAGTATGGTTTTGACATTGCTTAATGAGGTTTTTCTGATGTTTCTGATAACCGAATGTGTCTTCTACAAGGAGATCAATTATACTAAATTTAGGATTGAAACAAATTATGTTACAGATTTTTCTCTGTGTTGCATTGTAATCTTGTGAGATTTGAAATAAAAATTTTCAGAAAGGTGAGAAGGGAAATTTCCATGTAATATTTATATTAGTCAAAATGTATAAACGTAAAGCTGCCTTGAGATTTGTGATAGTTTATTAAAAATCAGTAATAATAACTGCACCCACACACACCATACTGAATACTTTAAAACAGGCATGGTCTCCTTTATGCAGTGGTGACGACACATAAATGACTTCCACGCTTTGGTTTAAATTACCATTGTATCCATCTTGGTTCAGGTCTCCTAAGTGTGCCATAGCACTACCGAATCTCCCAAACGTCTCGGTGCCAGTGAGGATCTGGGGGTCTCTGAAGAGGAGAGAGCTCACTTGCAAATACAGGTAGATTTGCCCTACTTCTCTGGGGTTGCTCTCAAATTCACGTTCCATAAAGAGAGGTGCCCCAACCAGGACATCATCCAGTCTGTAAGGAACAAAGAAAGCAGCTCAGCACGCTAGCAGAGAGTAGAGTCACTTTGGGTTATTTGTAATCAACTAGACTAGTAAATTTCCATTGGTATTTTTCCTTTTCTGAGGGTTATTTTACAATCATCAGATTGCTTTCGCTGCTTTGTTATATCTATGGAATCGAATGCTGTAAGAAAATAAGAGCTGTTAAATTATCACACTGAACATTTTAGCTATGTTAAAAATGCTACTTTAAGGAAACCACAGATATTTTACCATTTTCAGCTTCTTAGTGCATTTCCAGAAACTGTACTTGCACAAAGCAAACATATCAAGAAAGAACAAAATAGCTTTTTGTAAAAATAGATTAGAGTTTGTCTGCAATTAATATGACTATACATTTAAATTATTCAGTTTTTTTTTTTTTTTTTTTTTTTTGAGACGGAGTCTCGCTCTGTCGCCCAGGCCGGACTGCGGACTGCAGTGGCGCAATCTCGGCTCACTGCAAGCTCCGCTTCCCGGGTTCACGCCATTCTCCTGCCTCAGCCTCCCGAGTAGCTGGGACTACAGGCGCCCGCCACCGCGCCCGGCTAATTTTTTGTATTTTTAGTAGAGACGGGGTTTCACCTTGTTAGCCAGGATGGTCTCGATCTCCTGACCTCATGATCCACCCGCCTCGGCCTCCCAAAGTGCTGGGATTACAGGCGTGAGCCACCGCGCCCGGCCAATTATTCAGTTTTTAATGCAGTAATGTTTAAAATCAATTTTGTCCTTCCCTTTCCTTTTGTTAGCTCAATTTAAATAAAACAGAGATTAGAGAGGTATATCAAGCTGGCTAGAAAGGTAGCAAACAACTTTTCAGCCCAAATAAAAATTTGAATTCTTTGGATACATAGATTATAGCAAAAAACTAATATGTAATTTTTAAGGTTAAAAAATTTTCAAGAGATATTCAAGCAAATTATTTAGAGATAAAGATATAACCACCTGGAGAAAAAATAAAAAAGTGGTTACAGGTATTTCCTTCACAGAGCCAGATGGGCAGGAAGAGGACTAGAATGGGAAACTTCACTATAAGCCTTCTAAGTGATTTGATTTTTTAAAAAGGTATAATGTATAATTTCTGTTTTAAAATTTTACAAGTCACACCAACCAAAAATATATAATTTGATCTAAATTAATGGCCTCTATTAAAGTTTGTCTGCAGATACAGTGTCTTGGCAAATGCAATAATCTCAAGAGTGACCTGGGGCAGGAACATATATTTGCATTTGACTTTTATGCCTATGTAGATTAGGCAATATGCTGAAGTTTGCCAAGCAAACCGATTAAAATATTATTAATATAATTGAGTTATAATATTCATGTATATGAATGATATATAATAATGTATATTAATACATTAATGTATGAAATATATAAATTGAGTATATTATAAATATAAAGGTCAAGAAACAATACTATATTAATATACAATATATTAATATACAAAAATTAAGATATATCAATAACAATAACATAAAATCAATAATATGTATAAAAATATATCTTACTAACAGATTCCATATCAAGTGGCTCATACACATCTTTGATATAGTTTATATCAAAAGTCAGGGATGAGGTGGGAACAGTTACTGAGAACAAGAAACTTTCTTCAAGATCTGAGCAGTCTACAAGACACTCCAACATCACTCTAACCTACCCTCTCTCCAATTTCTGGCCTGCCTTGTGGTGTTTATCTATTGTCTTCAGTCTGAATCAAAAGATATCCTGTGTACTTCCTATGTTTAAGGTACTTTGATAAGTGGCTTTAATGCAATGATGACTATTAGGTCAACCAATTCATTCCCTAATAACTTACAAATGAGGTTAAATGACTACTCATATTACTATAAACATGGCAGATGGGGAAAAATAATATGAGACAATGAAATTAACGCTGGGTATCCTGGACCAGGGAGAGGCTGGGTGCTTGGAGGGAACTAAGGAAGGTTCCATGGAGGAGATGGCATTAGACCTGGGTGGGATCCCAAGGTGGGCTCTCCAGGTGTAGGTGTTGTGAGCCAAACCAAGTGTCCCTGAGTAGAGTGAGGGTAGAGTGAGTGTCTAGACATGCTTGGTGCTAGGGGCATTCCAACTAATTTATTGTAAAAGTAAAATGTACAAAGAATTCTTAAAAATTAACCCCATGAGGAAAAAATATGTAACAATAACATATATCATTATTATATATTATATACTATATATTGTTACAATCAATATTACATGTACATGATATACAATAAGAAAATAAGCCAATTAAAAATTGGGCAAGGCCAGTCACAGTGGCTCATGCCTGTGATCCCAGCACTTTGGGAGGCCGAGGTGGTCAGATCATGAGGTCAGGAGTTCGAGACCAGCCTGGCCAATATGGTGAAACGCCTGTCTCTACTAAAAATACAAAAATTAGCTGGGCATGGTGGTGGGTGACTGTACCCAGTGACTCTGGAGGCTGAGGCAGGAGAATCGCTTGAACCCGGGAGGCAGAGGTTGCAGTGGGCCGAGATCGCACCACTAGATGGCAGAGTGAGACTCCGTCTCAAAAAAAAAAAAAAAAAATTGGGCAAAGATTTGAATGGACACCTCATCAAAAAAGATAGATGGCAAGCAAGCTTATCAGAAGACACTCAATATAATATGTCGTTAGGAATTGCAAATTAAAACCACAATGAGATACCACTACACATCTCTTAGAATGGCTAAAATCCAAAATGCTGATGGTACCAAACATTGGCAAGGATGTAGAACAACTCTAATTAATTGCTAATGGGAATACAAAATGATACAGCCATTTTGGAAGACAGTCTAGCAGTTTCTTACAATGCTAAACATAGGCTTACCACACAATCACAAAATTACACTCCTTGGCAGTTACTCAAATGCATTTAAAACAGATATACATACAAAAATATGCACAAAAATGTGCATAGAATAATTGCCCAAACTTGGAAGCAACCAAGATACTCTTCAATAGGTGACTGGATAAGCAAATCATGGTACATCATATAATAATATTCAGCAATGAAAAGAAATGGGCTATCAAGCCATCAAAAGACATGGAGGAACCTCAAATATACATTGCTCAGTTAAAGAAGCCAATCTGAAAAGGCTACCTGCTGTATGATTCCAACTGCATGACACTCTGGAAAAGACACAACTCTGAAGGCAGCAAAAAAAATCACACACCTGGGTTCATGTTTTAGGCAACCTAACAGTGTGCATAAGTTACTATGCTTTTAATGTGTCCCTCAAATTTCATGTATTAGACAATTAATCTTCAGATGCATATATTAATGGCATTTGGAGGTAAAACTTTTAGTAGGTAATTAGGATTAGATAAGGCCATCAAGGTGGAGCCCCAAAATGGGACTTGTGGATTTATAAGAAGAGGAATGGAATACAGAGCTGGAATGTTCTTGCCCCCCTCAACATGTGATGCCTGGCACCACCTCAGGACTTTGCAGAGGGTCCCCACCAGCAAGAAGGCCCTCATCAGATGCGGCCCCTTGACCTTGGACTTCCAGCCTCCAGAAGTATAAGAAATAAATTTCTTTTCTTTGCAAATCATCCAGTCTCCGGTATTCAATTATAGCAACAAAAAACAGGCTAAGCCATGTATTGCTTTAACATAGAAACTTTTCTGTTTCTTTTTTTTTCCCAGTAGTACACTTCCATGCTAATGCTCATGACTAATATTCAGAATTTAGTTATTTATTAAAAGAATACAGATTAGTGGACTATATAGTAAATATCAAATCAACCTAATTGATAGGCAAGAGCTAACATCACTTCAATTACATTACAGAAATTAATCTACAACCTCTTTATGGTTTAATTTTTTAGAGTTTTCTACTAATTGAATCATAATGATATATCCTGTATGAATGAACATACTTGGGCTAAATCTAGCATAAAAATATAGCTCCCTAAGCTGTTTCCTTTCAATTGGATTTTTCTGTAAATTATTCTCAAGTTAACCACTAAGAATCTGTTTAAATTTGGCTCCTTTTGGTCCTGCAGAGGTTAGAAACAATGGTAGTGCAGAAAGTATCCAATGGATTAAATTGTAATTCAGTGAATTTCTGAAGTAGTATAACTACTATAACACTCAAAAGCCGTAAGAAAAAAAAAACATATTTGCTTGTTTAGGCACGAGATGAAAAATACCATCTCCATTTGTTGTTAACAGGTTTGTTCAGAAATTCCTAACAAAGCTTACATTGACGGAGTTTGTAGTACTGGAAGTCTTGAGATAACGAAACTGAAGATAATTTCCCCAGCTTGTTTATATTTTCAAAACTGTCACAGGCTTGACAGTATTAACCATCAACCAGCATGCACACAACTGTTAAGTCTAAATGTTTGCAGTCCACTCAATCGTACTTGGAGATTTTTCTTAACAGAAAAATATCAGGGAAAATTTCCACCAGTTAACTTATCTGGTCACTTATTGACAGTTTTTTTTTTTTCGTGATGTTGAGATTTTGGAGCTCTTTTAGGGACCTTGTTTTTGTTGCCTACTTTTCAAAGAATACATGTTTTCCAACAATGTCTACTAGATAGCCTTGTGTACAAATGTACTTAACTATCTCCAGCTTGGGGAAAGGAGAGTCTGGTTCAAGCCCATAAATGTGTGCGTGCAGGGAAGTCCTCACTTCTGAACCATGAGCAATGACCTAGCCAAGTGATTTTTTAAACCCTATGAAATATATTATATATATCACCATTGTTGTAATTTCAGACTTCACTTGAGTTGTCTATCTGGCATCTTTCTTTGGCCAATCTCAATTACTTCCAGAGCATAGTTATATATAATAGGACCCTGAATTTACATAGCATCTAAGTAATTAAAAACAGCAAGTGATATACTGAGAATCTGTGGGCACCTTATCTTTATGAACGGCATTAGTAAATTAATGGAAATATCCTTCAATGCAGTCTAAAGAATTCAGAAAATACTACGTAATAAAAAAATAGTATGCATAGCAATTTTTAAGAACTTCAAGAAAGAAGAAATTATTACTTTATAACAGTTCTGTGTTTGTTACTACCATGTTGTTTCGATTAACAGGAAGCCAATGAGGTCCTTTTCTCACAATTTGTTTTTTCCTTAACATGACAAATAAAAAGTACTATAAACATTCTCACAAAACTTTGCTATAGACTAGAATGCGCATGTTTCCAAGAAGGACGGTGCCCTGCAGGGCATAAGGCGAAGCTTGGGCAAAGTCCTGAGGATTCAAAACAGGAGTGGCCTGTGGAAGAGAACACATGGAATGAATCCGTGCAGCAGGGGAAGAGCCCCTGGTGCTTGTTGTGTGGCCGTCAGTGGGAAGAAATGTGTCTGTGCATATCTGAAAGGCCACAGTGGGATTTTTTTTTTTTTTTCCCTGATGTTGAGATTTTGGAGCTTTTTAAGAAACCTTGTTTTTGTAAGCGTTATGAAAACTGGACGGCATGCTATGTCTGGCCTTCAAGTTCTTTAGCTATTTTCTTTCCAAATGACTAAAAGGCTTTGATTACAATTACAGTCCACCTAAGTTGGAAATCTTGAATGACCGTCCTAATAGCTACTTTATTTTTACAACTTAGATAACTGAAGATGAAGGCAATTTATTTTTAAATTAACTGCTTTCAGGATAAGATTGACATTCAACTATAACTTCGAAATACATGCAGAGAGCAAGCACTGCAATCTCCCTCCACTGCTATTGCTCATACAGAGTCATTCCACTGCCCTCCAAGCCACTGTCCTGCCTCCCCTGGTGCATGGTAGTAGGGTTCCAGAAGGCTCTGTGACCATCTAGAGCTGGTAGACAGAGCACAGCTGATAACAGCGAAGCCTGAGCTGGTACTGCTCACCTGGAATCCCCATGGCTCACAGGACGTTGTAGCCTTCTTGGAAATGGACTTGTTCTAGTCCATGGCAGAGTTTGTGTTGCACTGTGTGTGGCAGTTTGGAGTAAATGCAGTGACCTGCACACCTTCATGATGCAGCTCCCCAGGGTTCACGCTCCACAGCTCTCTGCTGGTTCTTGAATATGCCTGGAGCTCCCACCTCAGGGAATACGCACCTTTTGCTCTTCCACAGGGAACACTCCTTCCTCCCTCCCTCCCTCTTAGATCACCATGGCTGGTCCTCACCTCCCTTAGGTGTTTCCTTAGCTGGACTCTTAACCCTGAGACCTTCATGATCTACCCAGTTGGGGATTGTATCCCTTCAAATACTCCCTATCTCTCCTCTCTATTTTAACAAGTTTAATTAATAGACTTTTTTTTTAGAGCAGTTTTAGATTGTTTAGATTCAAAGCAAATTTGAGCAGAAAGTACAGAGTTCTCCCATTACCCTCTCCCTAACTTGCAACCTTCCACACCGTCACATCAGAGGGGCACGTTCATTCCAATCAATAAGCCTACATTCATACGTCATTATCAACCAAAGGCCATGGTTTACATTGAATTCACACTTGGTATCAAACCTTCTATGGGTTTTAACAAATATATAAGGACACATATCCACTATTACTGTATCATGCAGAGTCATTTCACTGCCCTAAAAATCCTGTTCTTCACCTGTTCATAACTCCCTCCATCAGAACCCCTGGGAAACACTGCCTTGTTCCTGATGCCATAGTGGTGCCTCTTCCAGAATGTCATAGAATTAGAATCATATAGCATGTAGATCTTTCAGACTGGCATCTTTCACTTAGCAATATGCAGTTAAAGTTCCTTTGTGTGTTTTTTCTTTTCTTTTTTCTTTTTTTTTTTTTTCTTGTTTGAGACAGAGTCTCGCTCTGTTGCCCAGGCTGGAGTGCAGTGGTGCAATCACGGCTCACTGCAACCTCTGCCTCCTGGGTTCAAGGGATTATCCTGCCTCAGCCTCTCAAGTAGCTGGGATTACAGGCACCCACCACCATGCCCGGCTAATTTTTTGTATTTTTAGTAGAGACATGGTTTCACCACATTGGTCAGGCTGGCCTCGACCTCCTGACCTCAGGTGATCCACCCGCCTCAGCCTCCCAAAGTGCTGGGATTACAGGCGTGAGCTACCGCACCCGGCCCCTCTGTGTGTTTTCATGGCCTGATAGCTCATTTCTTTTTTAGCACTGAATAAAACTGAATTATCAGGATGTACCAGAATTTGTTTACATATTCATCTACTTGGTTGCTTTCGGTCCTTTTGTTTTCGTTGTCTCCACAGTACTTATAACCATCTAACATACTCTTTACTCATTTAATTTTTGTCTGTAGCAGCAACCTTCCTAACTCTAGTATAATCTTCATGAAGTTATGGATTTCTCTGCACCTAGAACAGTGCCTGTTAGTGCACAGTAGATGTTTGAGAAGTTTATGTTCAATGAAAGAATAATAGAAAGATATTTCCCAGCAGGTACAAAAGGTATGAAATTTATCTCCAGTCAAATGCCATGATACAATTAACACAAAGTCCATTGACAGCTATATAAAGGTCACATAAAATATCTAGCAAAAGTATAGCTAAAGTGCTTAGCCCGTTGCCTAGAACAAAGTAAGTATTCTTCAGATATTTGCTTTCTGTGAAAATGTGAGATCCCTGAGAGACCACATCTGTCTTATTCACCTGTGTATTCTGGGCACCAAGAACAAAGCCTGGAACGTGGTGTGTGATCCAATAATATTTTTGGGTGGATAATTGATACATCTCAATCTAATGGTTTTTAATTTAATGATTCATTAATTTACCTGTCAGGTCCTTTTAGTGAATCAAAGAAGTGTTTAATCATAATTTATTTTTGAAGTAATGACTTAAGCACAACCAAAATTCACCGTGCTGTTTGGTCCATGTTCAACTGTAATTTACTACTGTAATCTGAAAAATAACAATTTCGTCTTCTCCATGGCTGTTACATTTTTAAAGCAACTTAAAAATCCGTTTATGTGCAAATGTTTTGTGAATGTATCACATGCTAGGGGAAAATTCTAGGAGTGAAGAGAGATAGATGAATGTTCTCAATGGCTATGAATTTTGAATGGCTGAAGACTATAAAATTAAAAATAAAACGAAATAAAATAGTCCTCCTCTAGAAGCAGCAGATGTGGAAAATCTCCTTAAGGACAAAATCAGATGACAGAGAATTATTTAATAGATGCATCTTCTTGTCTTGAACCAAAAAAGTTGAGAACAAGAGAGCCTCTATCTTGTTGAGGCAATAAGGAAGGGTGTATTTTGTGAAGGAAAAACATAACATCTTTATGGATGAATGTAATATATTGTATATGAGAGAGGTCTATAAACTTACCCATCACTGTTAACATCTGATACGACAACGGTATATCCAAAATAAGATGCCATCTGCAAAGGAAAATCAGGAGATGACATTTTGTGTCCAAAAAGTCATTTTTGTAGTCATGTCTCTATTATTCCTGAAAGATTCATCTCATTGTGGTACATTTTTGCATTGAAATTCATAGATTCTTCGAAGTGGCCAGGGTCTTTTTGCCTCATTTAGTCTAACCCCTGACCCAGTGAATAATTTTCCCCATAATAACCCTGACATCTGCTTGGACATCCTCTGGGGATGTTCAACAATCAGCCCATTTAATCTGTGGACACAGCTATCGGAATGTTCACTGCTAAATCTGGCTCTTCCATAACTTCTAGCACTTAATCCCACCAAGTTCTGCAATCTTGAATCTCACAGAAGGAATCTAATTCCAATTCCATATGATGTTGTATGAAAATATTTTCAGGCTGGGTGTGGTGGCTTATGTCTATAATCCCAGCATTCTGGGAGGCCCAGGCAAGAGGGTCACTTGAGTCCAGGGGTTCAAGACCAACCCTGGCAATATGGTGAGACCTCATCCCTACAAAAAATAAAACAGAATTAGCAGGGCATGGTGGCACGTGTAGTCCCAGCTAACTGTGGGGCTGAAGTGGGAGGATCGCCTGAGCCTGGGGAGGTCAAGGCTGCAGTGATCTGAGACTACACAACTGCACTCCAGCCTGGGTGACAGAGAGAGACCCTGTCTCAAAAGACAATATTGTCACTTGGTTCACCATCCAAACTCTCTGTGTTAGAGATATGACATGTGGTACCAAAACACAGATGACACTTGTGAGTGCGCTGATGACAAGAGAAGAGTTAGGTAAGATTTACGCTTCCTGCTTCAGAGGAAGCATAAAAAGTTTTCATGTCGGGGGAACCCACATCTCAGTATCAATTTGTATCGTGCTCATAGTCAACAAAAGCTCCTAAATCTTTTCCATGAGTGTACACAGTGTACCATAGTCTCCCCACTTTTTTATTTATTTATTTATTTATTTTTTGAGATGAAGTCTCGCTCTGTTGCCCAGGCTGGAGTGCAGTGGTGTGATCTTGGCTCACTGCAACCTCCACCTCCTGGATTCAGGCAATTCTCCTGCCTCAGCCTCCTGAGTAACTGGGATTACAGGTACCTGCCACCATGCCCAGCTAATTTTTCTATTTTTAGTAGAGATGAGGTTTCACCATGTTGTCCAGGCTGGTCTTGAATTCCTGACCTCAGGTGATCCACCCACTCGGCCTCCCAAAGTGCTGGGATTACAGGTGTGATCCCCCGCACCTGGCCTCTCCCCATTTTATCGCTGCAGTTTTTCTTTTTAAACCTATGTTTTTGGATTTATAATCTTTTCAGGATTTATGCTCTCACCAGATTTGACCCATAGTTTCAGGTTGCCAGTTTGCTTCCATAGTGTGCCATGCAATGTTTGAAGTGACGTAGCTTCCATCGTGTCCTCATTTAATGAACATGCAATCCCTTAGAAAGCACACGCCCCAGGAGGCAGAGACTTTGGTCTGTTTTGTTTGCTGTTCTATCTGAACTTTCTGAGCAGTGTCTGGACCAAAGTAGGTGCCAGGTGCCAAATGCTCTTTGCAGAGAAAATGAATACATGAGTTAACAAGTGGCATGTAACAACTCAATTCTCACACCTCTTTTCTCTGTTCCAAACATAGATAGTGAAATTCTTTCTCTTGATGTGGTGGTGTGTGGCCTTTACTCAGAGGAATTTCATCATTTATGAAATTTCATCATTTATCACCTTCTGAGGTTCAGGATTACAGAACTAGGTGGTATTGAGGAGAGGAAGTTATAGAAAGACTAAATTTAGCAATGTTTAAAAAGTTTCTAATGATGAAAAGTAAACAGATCTGAGCAAAGGAGAAGCATTGCTAGATTCTCATTCACTTATTAATTACCACCACTTAGGAATAGTTGTTTCAAACAGTTCAATATCTATTCAACTTCCCGCTCATCTCAGTCTTATTTCTCCAAACCTTCCAAAAGAATATCAGGAGATATAAAATGCTTCGCTGAAAATTTCAGAGTAATAGACTAAAGCCCCAAATTACAGCAAAAAGATGTCAAAATCATTTTGTTTATTTTAAAACCTGCTGGTTTCTTTTTCTTTTCTTTCATTTTTTTTTTTTTTTTTTTTTAACAGAGACAGTGGTCTCACTATGTTGCCCAGGCTGGTCATGAGCTCCAGGCCTCAAGTGATCCTCCTGCCTTGGCCTTCCAAACTCCTGGGATTACAGGTATGAGCCACATTTCTTTAAATACTGAGTTGGTGCTTCCGTCTAAAGGAAGCCAGTTGTGAACTGAATTTGTTTCTCCAGGCAATCGATTTTTCTCTCCTCTTCAAATTTAATTAACATGGTTAGTTTTAAATGTATTACTTCCACAGCTTTGTTCATATTTAGTTTAAAATTAAGTGCGTAGTTCTGTTTGTAAATAGTCACATATAAGTTACAAACACAAGGAATTCATTTATTTTAAATTTGTCCTGCATTCAAACATGGAGGCCTGAATCTATATCTTACTGAAATAGAGATGCAATAGTTTATGATCATCATAAGCACACGTATTCGCATGCATCTCAAATTATAGAAGATTTAATGGCACATGGGAATTTAGTGGCTTTTGTTTGATCAAAAGGCAGGAGACAGGAAATGGGATGGAAAGGAATTAACATTTCTTGAGGAGTTGTTATGTGCCAGGGAATCTTCTAAGTAATCTACAATCCTTGATTTATTTCATTCTTAAAGGGAGCTTGGAAGATAAACATTTTATTCTTATTTTGCCAAGTGGCTCAAAGAGGTCAGATGATTTTCCTGTGGTCTCACACAGTTCATGAGCGGTGCGGTGGGAACTGGAAGTCTAATCTGTCAGCTGCAGAAGTCCAGGCCCTTTTTACAGTGACCTTCTTCCCATATCTTACATCAAAACCTTCAGGCCTTTATAGACTATTGAAAGATTCATGTTAATACGAAACCACTTCCCATTGTTCTTAGAAAAAAATTCTTAATCCCAAACACCGCCCACCTCCCCCACCAGTCTCCCATGAGTAGCCCCTGTCCCCTCCGTCCTCAGCTCCTACATCTCTCTTGCTTACAGAGACTGTGGCCTTCACTCTGCTCTTCACACATGTCTGGCTGGTTCTTGTTTGAAAGCCTTCTTGTTAGCCTTCCCTTGCCTGGAAGGTTCTGGATAAGATGGTATAGTTGGCTCTGTCTTGTCATTCACATCTCAGCCCAGACATTGGCACCTCAGAGGCCTCCTGATCACCCCATCCAAAGGCTTCCTTGCCACTTCCCTCCTGTCTTATATCACTCAGCTTTATTTTCTTTAAATCATGGTTCACAATCTGAAATTATCATGGACATTTATTTGCTTGTTAATAAACTGTCCCTTCCTCTCCCTCCCCTGCCACCTCACTGCTGCCTGAGAGCTGGATGGGATCTGTCTGTCTGATGCATGATTGCATCCCCGGTGCCTAGGACAGTTTCCAGTACGTAGTAGCTGCTCATTAAATATTTGTCAAATGGATGAATAACTGATATGAATATTATAGTCTACTGGTAACCCAGAGTGATTTTATTTATTTGATATTAAAATGTCTCTACCTGTTCTCCCGTGAAATTCTGAATAAACGTCATATCCGTAGAGTTAATGATGGAAACCTGAAATCACAGAAATTAAACAGGTTACACCATTTGCCATAGAATTGGAGCCTTTTTTAAAAACTACAACTTGAATCATTTAAAATTTTTTGTAAAGTGTGATAAATGGTTAGCTAAATGTAAAACAAAAATGAAAGCCCACGGAATGATCTTATTTAAAAAAAAAAAGCCGATTAAAGTTTTTGTTTATGGTTAAGTCTGGGATGCTTTCAGAAAAAACGCATGCTTATTAATCTGAACTGGAGAAATAAAAGTTGAATTCAAGAATACTGAGAGCAATTAACTTGATGATTAGTTGATTTAGTCAGGATTTTTGTCCAAATCCATTTCTGTTCTTATTCTATGATAAATTGATCATTATGGTTCTTTGCAAGAAAAATTAGATTTTAAAATGCTATCCACATGGCAAAAATATTCCTTTTACTTCTACTTAGACAACCGTGATGCTTTCTAGATACTTTTGTAAAAGATGAACTTTATTTAAAATGTTTTTCTTTCAGAAGATCTATTTATTTGCTTTTCCTAATTTCATAATAATGGGTTTGAATAGTAGCACCCCAAAATTTCATATCTACCCAGAACATCAGAATAAGACTTTATTTGGAAATAGGATCTTTGCAGATGAAATTAGTTAAGGATCTCAAGATGAAACCATCCGGGTAGGCTCTAAATCCAATGACTGATGTCCTTATCAAAAGAGGAGAAGACACATGTAGACAGAGAGGGCAGAAGGCCACATGAGGATGGAGGCAGAGACTGGTGGGATGTTGCCACAAGCCAAGGAATGCCAGGGACCATCAGGGGCTGGAAGGGGGCACAGAGAACCCTCCTATCATAGATGCTCTGGTGAGAATATTGTCCTGCCCACAATTTGATGTCAGACTTCTGGCTGCCAGAACTGTGAGTGAATAAATTTATGTTGTTTGAAGCCAGGCAGTTTGTGATTCTATGTTATAGCAGTCATGGAAACAAATAATAAATTTAAAATTAGTTAAATTTATAATAAAATAATGCAATTCATTAAAATAACTGAAATAACAATTGCTTTTATTTCTATTGTATGAGGCGTATTAAGTTGCTGATCATAACCATGGCATCCTCCACAATTATTCCCGGATTATACCCACAGGTAGGACCAGCCTTGTGGGTATGTGACTTGTGCAGTCACACAGGACCCTGTGCTTAGATGGGTCTCACCCTTGGTTTAATGGTCTGCTGTTCATGTCCTGAAATTTTTAATAATTTATGAACAAGGGGTCTGTGTTTTCATTTTGCACTAGGTCTCATCAGTTAAGTAGCTGCTCCTGCACATGGATCAGAAGAAATCTAATCTGACTTATTTTCCTTCCTTTTCCGTAAGCAAGCAGCATGAATCGGGAGGAAGAACCCCTTCATAAAGGAAGTTTTAAAAGACTTAAAATTTGCATAAAATGAAACATTTCTTTGCGTATACAGATGGTCCTTCAATTATGATGGTTCAACTGACAATGGTTCAAAAGTGATACACATTCTGTAATAATCATACTTTGAATTTTGAGTTTTGATCTTTTCCCAGACTAGCAATATGCGATATGATGCTCTTACTTGAGATATGAACACTTCATTATAAAATAGGCTTTTGCCTAAGTGTGGGCTAATGTAGGTGTTCTGAGCATGTTTAAGGTAGGTTAGGTAAGCTATGATGTTCGGTGGATTAGGTGTATTAAGTGTGTTTTCAACTGACAGTATTTTCAATTTATGATGGGTTTATTCAGATGTAATTCCATCAAGGAGCACCTATACAAGAAAATACCCTATTCCTGTAATGCATTCTCAGTACTCACATATCCAAAATTCTGTGCTCCTCTTGGAATTCCAGCAACCAATTCTGGGGATGAAAATAGCCATTTAGAAGGGGAATTACTCACACACACAAACACACACACACACGCCATATACTAAAAGTGGTAAAGACAGTGCTTGTAAAATGAGTGGCTATCATACAGAGCAGGGGTCCCCAAGCCCCAGGCCATCAACCAGCACCTGTCTGTGGCCTGTTGGGAGCCCGGCCACACACACAGTAGGAGGTGAGCCTCAGGCGAGCCAGAACGAAGCTTCATCTGTATTTACAGACACTCCCCTTGCTTACATTACAGCCTGAGCACTGCCTCCTGTCTGATCAGCGGTGGCATTATGTTCTCACCAGAGTGAGAACCCTATTGTGAACTGTGCACACAGGGGATCTAGGTTGCACGCCTCTTGAGAATCTAACTAATGCCTGATGATCTGAGGTGAAACAGTTTCATCCCAAAACCATCCCTCACCCCCACATCTGTGAAACCAGTCCCTGGTACCAAAACGGTTGCGGATTGCTGATGTAGAGGGTTGGAAGTTTGAAGCCAGGGCTTTGCGTTTACTGTTCCATTAGCTTTTGTTTCTTCTCCAGATAATAGAAAACAGAAAAACAGAAGTCATACTTTGTCATACTTTGTCATACTTTATGTCTTCATTACGAGTCTCTCTGTACTTCGGTCTCTAATTCATGAATCTGGCTTCTTGAGTCTGCGTGTGATTTATAAATTAGACTTCTTACTCTGATTCTTCCAGCTTTTACTATAGTGACATCTTTTGTACTAGTATAAAAATTACAGTTCTGGTTCCGTCTCAGAGTCAAGGGAGGGAATGGGTGCGAAGCAGAGAGGGGAGCCTTGGACAGGGACGTGGATGATTCATCTACAGCAGTAGGAGGGCAGGGGAAGCATGCTCTTGAATCATAAAACAGGGTTCAGAAAAACTAAGCAATCTGGAGAGACTGCCAGGAAAGTTGACGGAACTGGTAGTACCCTGTCCAGTTTTCAATAATCTTTATTTGGTATAAATTAAGTTCTCCTGACACTAAAAACAAACCACAATCAGATATAATAGGGTTGACTGATTTCAGGGTCAGGCCTGTGGGTGAGGACAGATTCTAGAGGATTGGGCCATTTGAGAAACATGGCAACCACAACTTTTCCCATCCCACAAACATCGGGAATTTTGTTTTTAAAGTATCAGTCTCCCACCCAGTAACTGTGAAGTCTGCAATCTCATGTGACCACAACTCTAAGGAGTTATTAAATGTAATATTGAGTAAAGATCCTCCTAATTTTTTAATAAGTGATCAGGACAGCTTAATTGCTTGGGGTCTAAGGCAAGTTTGAACTGTCACTCAACTACAAAAAATATTCAGTTGCAAGAAAAAATAGGAGACTTTTCCTTTTCAATAACTCAAGGTGAAATCTTCAGAAGGTCCTTTTTTTTTTTTTTTTTTTTTTTTTTTTAAACAGGGTCTTATTCTGTTGCCCAGCCTGGAGTGTAGTGGCATGATCATCATGGCTCACTGCAGCCTCAACCTCCTGGGCTCAAGCCATCCTTCTACCTCAGCTTCCTGAACAGCTGGGACCACAGGTACATGCCACTGTGCCTGGCTAGTTTTTGTATATTTTGTAGAGACAGGGTCTCACTATGTTGCCCAGGCTGGTCTCAAACTCCTGGGTTCAAGCCATCCACCTGCTTCGGCCTCCTAGAGTGCTGGGATTACAGGCCTGAGCCACTGTACATGGCCAGAAGGTTTTTAATAATCAATATAATCAGGAAAAATTTAGATCCTTGACCTAGGAACACATGACTTGAGTAGCATCCTGACTAGTGAGAAGCAAAAATATTTCCTTCATTTGCAGCTTAGAAAGGTTCTATCACCATTGAACTCATAGTTGGTGAGTAGTACAAGTCAAAAATTGACAGCAAAGTCAACATTCTTTCCAACACATCAAATTACATTCCTGGAATTGGTTAGGAACAGATTACTTTCTTGGGTTTTAGCTCACTACACCTCACTCTAAAGTGACAACAAAGGCTCTTAACCTTTTTTGAGTCATGAACGTGTATGAAAATTGGAAGAAAGCTATGGATCCTCTCACAAGAAAAATTATACACAATTAAATATTGTATGTAATTTTTAGGGGTTCCGATCCAGTGAGGCCTATGCATGTCCCACCTAGCAGTGTGAGGATCCATATTAAGAACCCATCATCTAGAGGACATTGAAGTGCTCACTGTTTTTTAAAATAGAATTCTCATTCCCTGTTGTCTAATTAAGTAAATCATGAACATGCACAGTCCTGGATTTGTAGTGGTCTGGTGAGCTGATTGCGATGTTCCTTGATAGTGCTTTTATTTTAGATATCCTCAAAACACTTAAAACACAATCCATTTTCAGATATTTTATTTTAGATATTTTATTTTAACTAGTTTAGATATCCTCAAAACACTTTTTATTTTATTTTAGATATTTTAGATAGCCTCAAAACACAAAATATCCTTTTATTTTAGATATCCTCAAAACACTTAAAACCCAATCCATTTTTCAGATATTTCTGAGATCTGATGGAAAATCACTACTGTTTTCTACCATCTTTCCCTACAATATACTCTTGTGCATCATTATTTATTTTCTTGGGTCAAAACTGAATGCTATTCTTGAGAGCTTTCCAACAAGACTCTTTTTTTTTTTGGACGAGATCTGAGTCTGTCACCCAAGGCTAGAGTGCAGTGGTGCAATGATGACTTACTTCAACCTTGACCTCACAGGGTCAAGTGATCCTCCTGCCTCAGCCTCCCAGCCTCTTAAGCTGGGACTACAGGTGCATGCCACCATGCCCAGCTAATTTTTGTATTTTTGAGAGGAGGTCTCACTGTGTTGCCCAGGCTGGTATAGAACTCCTGAGCTCAAGCAATTCTCCCACCTTGGCCTTCCAAAGTGCTGGAATTACAGGTGTGTGAGTCACCACACCCAGTCCAACAATACTCCTAATGCCACATTAAAAAAAATAATAATTTGGCATGTTTTACAGTTTCCTTTGTAAAATTTTTAGTGATTTTTAGATTTGACCTTTTTTCAAGGCGCTAGTTACTCAATACTATCTTTGGTTCCTAATTCAGTGGTTCTTGTAACAGCCAACAGCACTTTTTAGATATCAGGCCTTGCACTGTTTTATGGATACACAGAGTTAACTCACTGAATTCTCAGAAGAATCTTAGGAGGTAGACAATACTATTAGCTCATCATCCTTATTTTAGGAATGAAAAAATTTGGAGGCACTAAGATGCTTGGTAACTTGTCCAAGGTCACAGAGATAGTAAGAAGTGAGGTCAGGGTTTAAACCCAAGAGGTCTGGCTCCAGAGTCCAGGACTCTTAAGCGTTACAATATACTGCCTTTTAATACCTTGAAGAAGACATAATGAGAGGACAAGTCCTTTATGAATTAGTTTGTACCTAAAAGAAAAATGTTCTTTCAAAGGAAAAAATAAAACCTGATTATCTTCAACCTGAACTGCAAAACTTTATGATTTTCTGCTTTGTATACCTTCCCATGAAACTATGAAAGGATCTGTGATGATTCCTAGAGGTGACCATATTTCATTTACTCTTTTTTTTTTCCACATTTTATTATTATTATACTTTAAGTTTTAGGGTACATGTGCACAATGTGCAGGTTTGTTACATATGTATACATGTGCCATGTTGGTGTGCTGCACCCATTAACTCGTCATTTAGCATTAGGTATATCTCCTAATGCTATCCCTCCCCCCTCCCCCCAACCCACAACAGTCCCCAGTGTGTGATGCTCCCCTTCCTGTGTCCATGTGCTCTCATTGTTCAATTCCCACCTATGAGTGAGAACATGCAGTGTTTGGTTTTTTGTCCTTGTGATAGTTTGCTGAGAATGATGGTTTCCAGTTTCATCCATGTCCCTACAAAGGACATGAACTCATCCTTTTTATGGCTGCATAGTATTCCATGGTGTATATGTGCCACATTTTCTTAATCCAGTCTATCATTGTAGGACATTTAGGTTAGTTCCAAGTCTTTGCTATTGTGAATAGAGCCGCAATAAACATAGGTGTGCATGTGTCTTTATAGCAGCATGATTTATAATCCTTTGGGTATATACCCAGTAATGGGATTGCTGGGTCAAATGGTATTTCTAGTTCTAGATCCCCGAGGAATCGCCACACTGACTTCCACAATGGTTGAACTAGTTTACAGTTCCACCAACAGTGTGAAAGTGTTCCTATTTCTCCACATCCTCTCCAGCACCTGTTGTTTCCTGACTTGTTAATGATCGCCATTCTAACTATTGTGAGATGGTATCTCATTGTGGTTTTGATTTGCATTTCTCTGATGGCCAGTGATGATGAGCATTTTTTCATGTGTTTTTTGGCTGCATAAATGTCTTCTTTTGAGAAATGTCTGTTCATATCCTTCGCCCACTTTTTGATGGGGTTGTTTGTTTTTTTCTCATAAATTTGTTTGAGTTCATTGTAGATTCTGGATATTAGCTCTTTGTCAGATGAGTAGGTTGCAAAAATTTTTTCCCATTTTTTAGGTTGCCTGTTCACTCTGATGGTAGTTTCTTTTGCTGTGCAGAAGCTCTTCAGTTTAATTAGATCCCATTTGTCAATTTTGGCTTTTGTTGCCATTGCTTTTTGTGTTTTAGACATGAAGTCCTTGCCCATGCCTATGTCCTGGATGGTATTGCCTAGGTTTTCTTCTAGGGTTTTTATGGTTTTAGGTCTAACATTTAAGTCTTTAATCCATCTTGAATTAATTTTTGTATAAGGTATAAGGAAGGGAATGAGTTTCAGCTTTCTACATATGGCTAGCCAGTTTTCCCAGCACCATTTATTAAATAGGGAATCCTTTCCCCATTGCTTGTTTTTGTCAGGTTTGTCAAAGATCAGATAGTTGTAGATATGCGGCATTATTTCTGAGGGCTCTGTTCTGTTCCATTGATCTATATCTCTGTTTTGGTACCAGTACCATGCTGTTTTGGTTACTGTAGCCTTGTAGTATAGTTTGAAGTCAGGTAGGGTGATGCCTCCAGCTTTGTTCTTTTGGTTTAGGATTGACTTGGCGAAGCCGGCTCTTTTTTGGTTCCATACGAACTTTAAAGTAGTTTTTTTCCAATTCTGTGAAGAAAGTCATTGGTAGCTTGATGGGGATGGCATTGAATCTATAAATTACCTTGGGCAGTATGGCCATTTTCAAAATATTGATTCTTCCTACCCATGAGCATGGAATGTTCTTCCATTTGTTTGTATCCTCTTTTATTTCATTGAGCAGTGGTTTGTAGTTCTCCTTGAAGAGGTCCTTCACATCCCTTGTAAGTTGGATTCCTAGGTATTTTATTCTCTTTGAAGCAATTATGAATGGGAGTTCACTCATGATTTGGCTCTCTGTTTGTCTGTTATTGGTGTATAAGAATGCTTGTGATTTTTGTACATTGATTTTGTGTCCTGAGACTTTGCTGAAGTTGCTTATCAGCTTGAGGAGATTTTGGGCTGAGACGATGGGGTTTTCTAGATATACAGTCATGTCATCTGCAAACAGGGACAATTTGACTTCCTCTTTTCCTAATTGAATACTCTTTATTTCCTTCTCCTGCCTGATTGCCGTGGCCAGAACTTCCAACACTATGTTGAATAGGAGTGATGAGAGAGGGCATCCCTGTCTTGTGCCAGTTTTCAAAGGGAATGCTTCCAGTTTTTGTCCATTCAGTATGATATTGGCTGTGGGTTTGTCATAGATAGCTCTTATTATTTTGAGATATGTCCCATCAATACCTAATTTATTGAGAGTTTTTAGCATGAAGCGTTGTTGAATTTTGTCAAAGGCCTTTTCTGCATCTATTGAGATAATCATGTGGTTTTTGTCTTTGTTCTGTTTATATGTTGGATTACATTTATTGATTTGCATATGTTGAACCAGCCTTGCATCCGAGGGATGAAGCCCACTTGATCATGGTGGATAAGCTTTTTCATGTGCTGCTGGATTCGGTTTGCCAGTACTTTATTGAGGATTTTTGCATCGATGTTCATCAAGGATATTGGTCTAAAATTCTCTTGTTTTGTTGTGTCTCTGCCTGGCTTTGGTATCAGGATGATGCTGGCCTCATAAAATGAGTTAGGGAGGATTCCCTCTTTTTCTATTGATTGGAATAGTTTCAGAAGGAATGGTACCAGCTCCTCTTTGCACCTCTGGTAGAATTCGGCTGTGAATCCATCTGGTCCTGGAATTTTTTTGGTTGGTAAGCTATTGATTATTGCCTCAATTTCAGAGCCTGTTATTGGTCTATTCAGAGATTCAACTTCTTTCTGGTTTAGTCTTGGGATGATGTATGTGTTGAGGAATTTATCCATTTCTTCTAGATTGTCTAGTTTATTTGCATAGAGTTGTTTATAGTATTCTCTGATGGTAGTTTGTATTTCTGTGGTATCGGTGGTGATATCCCCTTTATCATTTTTTATTGCGTCTATTTGATTCTTCTCTCTTTTCTTCTTTATTAGTCTTGCTAGTGGTCTATCAATTTTGTTGATCTTTTCAAAAAACCAGCTCCTGGATTCATTAATTTGTTGAAGAGTTTTTTGTGTCTCTATTTCCTTCAGTTCTACTCTGATCTTAGTTATTTCTTGCCTTCTGCTAGGTTTTGAATGTGTTTGCTCTCACTTCTCTAGTTCTTTTAATTGTGATGTTAGGGTGTCAATTTTAGATCTTTCCTGCTTTCTCTTGTGGGCATTTAGTGCTATAAATTTCCCTCTACACACTGCTTTGAATGTGTCCCAGAGATTCTGGTATGTTGTGTCTTTGTTCTCGTTGGTTTCAAAGAACATCTTTATTTCTGCCTTCATTTCGTTGTGTACCCAGTAGTCATTCAGGAGCAGGTTGTTCAGTTTCCATGTAGTTGAGCAGTTTTGAGTGAGTTTCTTAATCCTGAGTTCTAGTTTGATTGCACTGTGGTCTGAGAGACAGTTTGTTATAATTTCTGTTCTTTTACATTTGCTGAGGAGTGCTTTACTTCCAACTATGTGGTCAATTTTGGAGTAGGTGTGGTGTGGTGCTGAAAAGAATGTATATTCTGTTGATTTGGGGTGGAGAGTTCTGTAGATGTCTATTAGGTCCACTTGGTGCAGAGCTGAGTTCAATTCCTGGGTATCCTTGTTAACTTTCTGTCTATTTGATCTGTCTAATGTTGACAGGGGGGTGTTAAAGTCTCCCATTATTATTGTGTGGGAGTCTAAGTCTCTTTGTAGGTCACTAAGGACTTGCTTTATGAATCTGGGTGCTTCTGTATTGGGTGCATATATATTTAGGATAGTTAGCTCTTCTTGTTGAATTGATCCTTTTATCATTATGTAATGGCCTTCTTTGTCTCTTTTGATCTTTGTTGGTTTAAAGTCTGTTTTATCAGAGACTAGGATTGCAACCCCTGCCTTTTTTTGTTTTCCATTTGCTTGGTAGATCTTCCTCCATCCCTTTATTTTGAGCCTATGTGTGTCTCTGCACGTGAGATGGGTTTCCTGAATACAGCACACTGATGGGTCTTGACTCTTTATGCGATTTGCCAGTCTGTGTCTTTTAATTGGAGCATTTAGCCCATTTACATTTAAAGTTAATATTTTTATGTGTGAATTTGATCCTGTCATTATGATGTTAGCTGGTTATTTTGCTCGTTAGTTGATGCAGTTTCTTCCTAGCCTGGATGGTCTTTACAATTTGGCATGTTTTTGCAGTGGCTGGTACTGGTTGTTCCTTTCCATGTTTAGTGCTTCCTTCAGGAGCTCTTTTAGGGCAGGCCTGGTGGTGACAAAATCTCTCAGCATTTGCTTGTCTGTAAAGTATTTTATTTCTCCTTCACTTCTGAAGCTTAGTTTGCCTGGATATGAGATTCTGTGTTGAAAATTCTTTTCTTTAAGAATGTTGACTATTGGTCCCCACTCTCTTCTGGCTAGTAGAGTTTCTGCTGAGAGATTAGCTGTTAGTCTGATGGGCTTCCCTTTGTGGGTAACCCGACCTTTCTCTCTGGCTGCCCTTAACATTTTTCCTTCATTTCAACTTTGGTGAATCTGATAATTATGTGTCTTGGAGTTACTCTTCTGGAGGAGTATCTTTGTGGTGTTCTCTGTATTTCCTGAATTTGAATGTTGGCCTGCCTTGATAGATTGGGGAAGTTCTCCTGGGTAATATCCTGCAGAGTGTTTTCCAACTTGGTTCTATTCTCCCTGTCACTTTCAGGCACACCAATCAGATGTAGATTTGGTCTTTTCACATAGTCCCATATTTCTTGGAGGCTTTGTTCATTTCTTTTTATTCTTTTTTCTCTAAACTTCTCTTCTTGCTTCATTTCATTCATTTTGTCTTCCATCACTGATACCCTTTCTTCCAGTTGATTGCGTCGGCTACTGAGGCTTCTGCATTTGTCACGTGGCTCTCGTGCCTTGGTTTTCAGCTCCATCAGGTCCTTTAAGGACTTTTCTTCATTGGTTATTCTAGTTATCCATTCATCTAGTTTTTTTCCAAAGCTTTTACGTTCTTTGCCATTGGTTCGAATTTCCTCCTGTAGCTCAGAGTAGTTTGATCTTCTGAAGCCTTCTTCTCTCAACTCATCAAAGTCATTCTCCATCCAGCTTTGTTCCATTGCTGGTGAGAGGCTGCGTTCCTTTGGAGGAGGAGAGGTGCTCTGATTTTTAGCAGTTGTTCTGCTCTGTTTTTTTCCCATCTTTGTGGTTTTATCTACCTTTGGTCTTTGATGATGGTGACGTACAGATGGGTTTTTGGTGTGGATGTCCTTTCTGTTTGTTAGTTTTCCTTCTAACAGACAGGACCCTCAGCTGCAGGTCTGTTGGAGTTTGCTAGAGGTCCACTCCAGACCCTGTTTTCCTGGGTATCAGCAGCAGAGGCTGCAGAATAGCAGATATTGGTGAACCGCAGATGCTGCTGCCTGATCGTTCCTCTGGAAGTTTTGTCTCAGAGGACTACCCGGCCGTGTGAGGTGTCAGTCCGCCGCTACTGGGGGGTCCTTCCCAGTTAGGCTACTCAGGGGTCAGGGACCCACTTGAGGAGGCAGTCTGCCCGTTCTCAGATCTCAAGCTGCGTGCTGGGAGAACCACTACTCTCTTCAAAGCTCAGTTGGAAATGCAGAAATCACCCATCTTCTGCGTCGCTCATGCTGGGAGCTGTAGACCAGAGCTGTTCCTATTCGGCCATCTTGGCTCCCAACTCCATTTACTCTTAATTATTTGTGAATTAAACCACTTGCATTAGTGAAATGCAGTCAGTGTTCATATGAAACAAGATGGAAAATGGTAAATACTGATTGATGATTGACTCATTCAATAAATATTACCCGTTGAGTGAAAGCTCCCATTTATTGCCTTGTATCTAAGTATTCCTCATGCATTAGCTCATGCAATCTTCAGAACATTATTTTGAGTTAGTTAATATTAGTGTCATTTAAAGATGAGCAAATAAGAACCAGAGAGGTTGTCATAGCCTAAGGAATAGAGAGTGTGAAGTCAGAACTTGAACCTACGTGGATCTTGACTCCAAAGATTCAAATTATTTCTGTCAAGCTGTTTCCGGTATGAATCTATTACGAGCAACACATGGTCTAGTCTTTGTAAAAGAGATAAATAATAACAATACATAACAATACATAGACCTTGCCTTCAAGGAGGTAGACATGAAGAGAAAAGTGATATATGTGATACCATTCTTCCTTACTCTCATCTCAATCAAATCTACATAGGCAGCCAGTGTGATTTGTTCTCTTTTTTTCTTTTAGATTACAAGCATGATTGCATTATATTTACTCCTCAGCTGAAACCTTTCATGTCTTCTCCCCTGCACGTTGAATAGATCCCAGAATTGTTTCCATGACCCGTAAAACCGGACATGAGCTGAGCCCAGACTTTGCTCGAAGCCAATCTCGTTTCACTATCAAAGTCTGGCAGTCAAGCTGAGGTCCTTCAACACCCGCATTTTCTACACACCTTAGAATATAGAAGTTGGCCCCTGCCCCTTTGTCTGTCTGACCCCCCACCGTCATCATCCCAGGCTCCGTTTTCTTAACACCACAGCTTTTCTTACTCTATGTTTAGAATTTTATCCTAGCACTTATCATAATTTAATTAGGTATTCTGTGTTCATTATTTCATGTCCATCAGCCCTGGTAGACAACAGCCACAGCAAAGCAGAGAAGACAGGACAGAAGGGATATACAGGAGATAGGGATTCGTTTGTTTTGTTATTTGGGGTTTTGGTATGTTAAAAGAGGAAAAAGCAAGTAAGGTTGGGGTGTTGGATTGGAGTTCGTTGGGGAGAGTAATTTTGGACATGTCCAATATGAGAGGTACTAGAAATGAAGGGATCTTAATTTCACAAATTTGATCTGTCACTAACAGTATGGCATTTAGTCATCTATATTTTTCATTCATAACATGGGATTATGGCCCTAATATTTTATTGCTTAACTAGATTTTATAAAGTTGATATTCATTCTTACAAAATTCTTTCAGACTTAAAATGCTGTATCAAAGTATTTTTTCTACAAAGTATAGGCACTCTGGGACTCCATTAATATCCCTTTGGTATAGCAAATAAAATCACATTGATAGAAAAAACTTTATATGCCATTTTACCATTTCCCCATGCTTTATAAGTGATTTAAACTCAACAGTGCCTCTCACCTTGCTGAGAATCCCCAGTAAACTCCCCAGCAGCAACTGAGTATCCTGTTTTAAAGAAAAAGAAACAAACTAATCACACTTAATGACTTAACCTAATGAGTTATATCTAGAAAAAGGTGAAAGGGCTACCATGGTACTGCTTTATTTAGAAACCTCTACAAATATTATAAAAGTTAAAGATTCTATAAAGGGAAAAATTAATCACACCAAAAGGAACACTTTTATACTAAGTCCTGAGTGCATAATAGATTATCTACTACTTAAGTAGGAGCAAAGCAAAAAAAAAAAAAAAAAAAAGAGGGAGATATTCTGAGGTCAATTTTAAAAGCATGGATACTTCATAATCCACCTTGAGAGTAAATGGTGGCTGTTGCATTTTAAGAGCTGCTGATTGAAAATAATGAGACAGAATACTCTGAAAGATTTCCTTTGGGCTCAGGTTTTGCTATTTCTGGTCACCAGTAAGACCTACTTCCTAATACCTCATGATGGTTTTCCACAATTTAGTTTAGCTCTAAAGTGAGGTGCTGGCTACATTGACAAAACATAGCTACATTTCTTTTTCAAATTCATCAAGCAATCAAATGGCCACTAGGAACCAAAGTTGGGAAACAGTAGTGGTGAAATGACATTGTGTGGTTTGTGCATAATATAATTTGAGAATATTCCAGCAACTCAAACTTCTCTTGTGCGTCTCTGTTAACTAAGAAGGCTGCTATCATCCTGTCCCTGTCACACTGGTAGCAGCCCTGCTAATACATAGTATCTACTACTGGTGAAATAGTTCATGTGCAAAAAACTGCTATGGAGCCAACAAAATAGCTGCTCACATTATGTATTACACATCGCGGCTGGAAAAATAGCAGTATTAAAAAGAAAAGAAAAATTGAGTCCACTCTAATAAGAGAACATTTGTATAAGATGCCAAATAACATCGGATAAGTCAGGGATAAAACTTGCATCTACATTTACTATGCTTGTCTTTTGAAAAACCACAAATGTCTTGGGCAATGGGTCTTACCAAGGTAACTGTCATCATAGGAAGCTGGAGCCACTTCCGTCTGCTTTTCTCCTGCCAGTTTCCTGAGGATATCCTTGAATGAGTAATTTGCAATGATATCTGCAACACTGGCAGTGATCACTTGTCCTGTGTTTAAACAAATTAATACGTTAACTGAATGAAAGCAAGAGGCAGGCCCTCCATGAGCAGACCCACATTCCCTTGAAAGCTATGGTGGAATTGCTTGCTTTTTTGATGATGAATTTTCCCGCCTGCCGCTCAAACTCCAAGGCAGAGTTAGTTACAGCTGGGTAGAACTTTCCATTCTGACAGAAGACCTGAGATGAACTACAATATTTTATTGGTCTTCCTGCTGCTTTTAACATACACACTCCACCTCCAAATGATAAAAGTATCCAAGAGTGGAGGCCAAATTTGCAAGTAAAATTTATGTGATGTAATTTTTGTTTGTTTGTTTGTTTGTTTGTTTTTGTTTTTTGGGACAGAGTCTCGCACTATTGCCTGGGCTGGAGTGCAATGGTGCAGTCTCAGCTCACTGCAACCTCTGTCTCCCGGGTTCAAGTGATTCTCCTGCTTCAGCCTCCCAAGTAGCTGGGTCTGCAGGCACCTACCACCACGCCTGGCTAATTTTTTGTGTTTGTAGTAGAGACGCAGTTTCACTATGTTGGCAAGGGCGGTCTCAAATTCCTGACTTCGTGATCTGCTTGCCTCGGCCTCCCAAAGTGCTGGGATTACAGGTGTGAGCCACAGCGCCCGGCCATGATGTAATTTTTATTCTGGAATATTCCACCTGGAAGGAAGCTTTGAGATCATTTGGTCAAATATAGCTTCTTCTAGGTGGAGAAACTGAAGCCCAAAGAGCTACAGTGCATTCTCTAAGGTCATATGGTTTTGCTAATAGGATATCAGGCATTACAGCCAACATTTCCTTTGGTATTCTAATAAAACATTTTGTGCTCTTGCAAAGCATAGATACTGTATTCAATCTAAATCACATATCTGATTAATAGATGATAAAATATATCAGCTAAGTTAAATGAAGGAATTGTAAACTCTTTGAGCCATCTGCTTTTCTTGCTAAAATATAGAGAGAGCATAAAATTAGGACAATGGGAAGCAGCTAGGTCCAATGAGATCCAAAATTCAGCAAAAGAGAAATCCATGGGCACCAACATTGACGTGATAAGAACTTTGGTTAATCTCTCTCAAAAGTCACTGTCAGAAGTCTTGAAATACGATTGCCTTGGGGTAGACAAGTATCTAAAAGACAACCAGCAATTTCCGCTGCAATTTCTATGCATTCCCATGTTTACCATGGACATCTAAGGCAAAAGTGTGATATCATGCTCTTTGGCAGAAAACTGAAGAAATGCGTTCAAAAGACTATCATTTAACATTAATTTGAAAGCCAAATTAGTCTTTGGGAATTCACACAAAATTCCCACAGTCTTTCTGTTGGAAGTCCACAAAAGAATGAAACTGTCAAACTAGATCATAAATATTGCCAAGTGACTGGGACTTGAAATGACTATTCTGATATTAAGACCATGGTATTTACACATGAGTTTCTGAACACTGTCTGTAGAATTTGCCAGTTGTCTCTGGGTTACAGCTAAATACCCTCTTTCCTCCATCCCACATACACACTGTCTTTGCTGTTTCCTTTAGCTATGTCTATACACATATACACATTATCATCTTAAACCTGAATAAAATTTTAAATTCTATGTCTCAAACATATGTTTCTATATGCCATTGCTATGGCAAATTTTTAGCAAATCATTTGTCTCAGACATTTTTTCAGTTTAAGGAGAAGAATGGATTATGTGAAATTAACCAAGTGAATTAGAAGAAAACCTTCCGTAAATATAATTTTAATTTTGTAGCCATCTGTTGTGCAAAATATATAGTTTTTCAGTTTGCAGAGTAGTTTTTAAATACCAAAATGTTAATTGTTTGATGTTTATAATTGTATATGCATGAACTGAGCTTAACATTAAGTTTATATACAATTTTATCATAAATCAGCTGGGTGTGGTGGCTCATGCCTGTAATCCCAGAACTCTGGGAGGCTGAGGCGGGCGGATCATGAGTTTGAGACCAGGATCAGGAGTTTGAGACCAGTCTGACCAACATTGTGAAACCCTGTCTACTAAAAATACAAAAATTAGCCAGGTGTGGTGGCATGCAACTTTAGTCCCAGCTACTCAGGAGGCAGAGGCAGGAGAATCACTTAAACCTGGGAGGCAGAGGTTGCAGTGAGCCAAGATCACACTACTGTACTCCAACCTGGGCAACAAAATGAGACTCGTCTCAAAAAAAAAAAAATCATAAATCTATCTCTCCTGGATCTTTCTCAATGACTTTTAAACATGATCAAGTTTCTTCCATTAAAAAAATTCCTCCCTCAACTCTTAATCTCAGATTCTACTCTGTCCTAAACTTTATAGCCCAAATTATAGAATCTTCTCAGTATTCTCTCTCTAGGCCTCCCATCTATACCCATGGACTGAGTTATCACCAGTATGAAGTGATGAAAATTTATATTTCACTCTAGATGGTCTCTGGGCTTAAGCCCTAAATACTTAGGTGAAACCCTTTGGGTATCTCAAATATTTTCATACACAACAGAACAAGAAGTAAACTCATCATCTTCCCTCTCCAGGCCACTCTAAACTGGTCCTCTTCCAGTGTTCTGTATCTCAGTGAGCGGCACCCACCTACAGCCATTCAGTAGCAGGCGTCAGAAACACTCCCTTACCACCTTTCTTCCCTTACCAGCATATATCCAACCCATCATTTAGGCTGCTTATTTTGCCTCCAAAGTATTTCTCAAATTTCTCTTCTTTTACAGTCAGTACCACCATCGCTCTAAGAAACAGACAACTTTACCTGAAACTTATACAACTTGTTTACCTTATAAACTTAAAATTAGTTTATATCCTTGTAACAACCTTGTAACTACTTTGCTGATATTTCACCTTGGCCAACTTTCAATCTATTTTCTGTAACGCAGCCAGAATGATCCTTTCAAAACATAATTTGATTGTAGCACTCCATGCTTAAACTCACTTCATAGTTTGTCACTACACTCAGGACAAACAACATCTTCTTACTCTAGCTAAAGCCATCTATTTAAACTCTTAAAATCCCCCAGTGGTTTTCCATAGTTTGTAGAATAAAGACAAAACTGCTTAGCATGGACTGCAAGCCTTCAATGTGAAACCTGAATAAAATTTTAAATTTCTATGTCTCAGACAAATGCTTGTATATGCCATTGCTATGGTAAATTTTCAGCAAATCATTTGTATCCTACGTTTTTTCAACCAAAAGAATGGATGATGTGAAATTAACATAATTTATGGTAAAAATATCATGAAAATTTATGATAAATTTTTTATTAACATAATAATGTTAATTTCACATCATCCATTCTTTTGTGAAATTAGCGGGCCACTCCATACCACCCAAGCTCTTCTTCCCTCACTCTCTTAACTCCGGTCACCTTGACTTTCCTCCATTCTCACCTACGCTGCCCTCCTGCCTCCCACAGTACATCTGCACGTGGTCCCTCTTCTCTTCACCTAGGTACTCCTACGTAAGGTCCAGATCTCAGTTCAGGGTTGTTTGCTTTCCAAGTTAACTTTGCGTTGCTGCTGGCCTATGCAGCACCTTAGCAAGAATTAGAAGACGTAATTTCCTCTCAGCAGATGCTGTCTGTACCTGGGTTCATGGCTCCATAAGCAGAGCACAGGTTGTATTCCAGCTCCCTGTCAGCCAGTGGTCAGAGGACAAAACACACCTGTCCACAGCCACCCAGGAGAAGCCTCCTAATTTCTCCCAGCCCCATCACCACATGCCTTTGCTTCGGATTGTGTATCACAGTTGGGGTTTCTTGGGTACCCCTGTGACAGTTCGATTAATGCCTGTTATCATTCTCTAGATACTAACCTCCATGACAGTAAGAACAATGTCTGTTTTTACTCATTAATGTGTCCCCAGCCTCTACCACAGAGCTTGGCAGAGCCTCAACACATTGTTGATGGAGAAATGAATTGTTAAGTTGCAAGAGTATTTTAAAATATTATTTACATTACAGAGTACAGGCTGGGCAGTGGCTTAGGCCTGTAATCCTAGCATTTTGGGAGGCTGAGGCGGGTGGATCACCAGAGGTCAAGAGTTTGAGACCAGCCTGGCCAACATGGTGAAACCCCGTCTCTACTAAAAATACAAAAATTAGCTGGGCATGGTGGTGGGAACTTGTATTACCAGCTACTCAGGAAGCTGAGGCAGGAGAATTGCTTGAACCTAGGAGGTGGAGGTTGCAGTGGGTCGAGATTGTGCTATTGCACTCCAGCCTGGGCAACAAGAGTGAAACTCTGTCTCAGAAAAAAAACAGAAAACAAATGAGAGTACAAATCGAAATGATGCTTTTGTTCTCACTCATACATGGAAGCTAAAAAAGTTGATCTCATCGAAGTAGAGAGTGGAAAAGTGGTTACTAGAGGCAAGGATGAATAGAGATTCAGGTATAGCCAGAGATGGGTTAATGTACACAAAAGTACAGCCTGGTAGGAGGAATAAGTTCTAACATTCTATAGCACTATAAGGTGAATATAGTTAACAACAATTTATCTCATATTTTTAAATAGCTAGAAGAGATTTAAAATGTTCCCAACACAAATGATCAATGTTTGAGGTGATGGTTATGCTAATTACCCTGATTTGATCATTACACATCATAAGCATGTATGAAAATATCACATGTACCCCATAAATATGTACAATTGTTTTGTCAATTAAAATAAAATATTAAAAGCAAAAAAAAGAAATAACGCTTCATTTGAGAAACTATGAATAAGGATATAAAATTAAGGTAATAGAAAGTAAACATTTAACACTACTTCTGGGTCCATCCTTCTGTTAGTAACAACAAATGTGCTTTTCTTGTCTGCCAACAGAACATACCTTGCCAGTAGAAACTCCCAGGTCCTCCCACAATAAGGTCTCCATTCTACAAAACAGAAACAGCAACAGCAACCATAATTGGAAAAGAAATACTAAACATTTTTAAAGGGTGATAAATTGTTGTTAATAAGCATTGCTCTAACAATTTGTTACACATAAAAAGCAATTTTTAAAAGAGATCCTTCGGAGGCCTGCAGTTCATTTTCTTTCCTCTTTTGTTTTCAATTATTTAGTGTGTTATCATATTAAATAATTTTAATTTGACTCAATTAGGTAAGTTGAACTCTCTCCCTTGAGAGAGATAAATTCTGTTTTTTGGCACTGCCTCATAAGCAAAATATCAACATGTTTAGTGCTGTGCAGTTTTGCAGACATGGTCTTTTGAGCCTTCGTGATAGAAATAAAATTCTGTTCCAATTTATTTCAAGGACATAGTAATGCCTATTTTTTTCCATACATCCCCAGTGCCACCCCCTTCTCAGGAGAAAGAGCAAACACTCCAGACTAGCAAATATAAACATTTTCTCATGAATTGACATCCTCACCTTTCGTGCCTCATATCTTTAACTCTCAGTGGAAAATATAAAAACAAAAAAGTAATGATAAAAAGAATGATAAAAGACAGTAAACAGTTTATACGTTGATGAAATTTTTCTATACTATTTTCAAAACCACAGAATCTTTTCCCTCTACATTCTTACTGAACATCTCTTTTTAATTTTTTGAAAGGATATATGAATTTTAATATTAATATTAAATGTAACTGGTCAATTACAGTTAACAAAACAATGAATAGATTCATGTGATCTTTTTAAGAAACATTACTGAGTTTTTTAGATTTTCATTTAAAAAATTATTGCCACAAAGGATCAGAAGAAAGGCTGTTGCTTTTTATCATGTCTATTTCTCTACTATTTAATAGGCCGCTATGTGCATAAATTATTTACATAAAAATAAAAAGTGAATGGAAAAATTTTTTTAGAAAGCATTTGCCCAAACAGGCTAGGTATGTTCCTCAAGATTCTTTGGTTCTTTGGTGGTGGTGGTGGTTTTGGGGTGTGGGAGTGAGAGGCAGAGGGTAAAAAAAAATCAGATTAAATATTAGGAACTGCGAGACCAAAATAATTCACCTTATAAAAATCCAGACTAAATCCTGCTTGGCAGTAACCCTGGCCTTCCGGATCAGCATTGCCTAGAACGATCAAAATACATAAATGTTATAACGTTATCATTCCTGAAATATTTTTTAATAACCAATTCAGGATATTATGTTATTTTCTCTAGAACCTTCTAAATTAAAAATGATCAATATGTGTTTTATGTTTATTTTTAAAATGTTGTTCAAGTAATTTATTAAACATATTTCTGTCTGTTTTCTTACACCAAATAGCGTTGTGATTCTCTAGTAAGATCAACAGGAATAACATCCCTTTTGGCTACTCTATTGGGTTTTATGACTCACTTTCATTTGAAGAAATAAAATCTCTATCTTTGACTATATTCCAAATTTCCCATGAGGCAATAACGTGTCTCTCTTTTGCCCCCTCGTGCTGTGTGAAGGCAGATAGGTCTGTCATTCCCAAAAGTTGACACCTTGAGGAAGAAGGGGCAGTGCAAGATGACCTTTGTAGATGTCATCTTCTGGGCCACCAATAAGCATTTCCACTGTTACGCTCTTTAAGAGGAACTTAATTTTAAATTATCCTATTATGGCCAGTTGTGGTGGCTCATGCCTGTAATCCCAGCACTTTGGGAGGCCAAGGTGCGCAGATCATGAGGTCAAGAGATTGAGACCATCCTGGCCAACATGGTGAACCCCATCTCCACTAAAACCACAAAAATTAGCTGGGCATGGTGGTGCATGCCTGCAGGCCCAGCTACTTGAGAGGCTGAGGCAGGAGAATCTCTTGAACCCAGGAGGCGGAGGTTGCAGTGAGCCGAGATCATGCCACTGCACTCCAGCCTGGGTGACAGAGCAAGACTCCAACTCAAACAAAATAATAATAAAAACAAATTATCCTATTATAATAGGCTAGGTAAATTGGGAAATTGCATTTCTGGTCACAGTCTCACTGGACATTGCAATGCTAGTGTTCACAAAAGAGAAAATTCTAGTAGTGGCTTATCTTGCTTTCTATCCAATATGATTCACTAACTCATTGTCCAATAGGATCTCATGGTACAGTTGTAAGCTATAGGCAGGCCAACACGTTGATTTCAAGGCTATTGTTATCAAAAGTCTGTAGGGCATTAGGACCAGGAATTTACTACTTGTAACTTGTACTTTAAAAGAGTTTCTACAACTTCTAACATGCCTAAAATAGCCAAAATGTAGTGAATTAAGTAGAGGGAATCTCAATCCTGCATAGTTAGATTTGGACATGTAAATAATTATTTCTTTCTTATCAAGGATATTCCTCAATGGAAACTGAAATAAGAGAACAGGAAAGGAAATACATGTCATCACAGGAAATATTGATGACTGGGCATGCGCCTGTTCAGAAGCTTTTTGAAATGGACCTGGCCTTTCCGGCTTCCCTTAGAATGTCTTCCGGTTTTTTCTTTCCTTTGGTCATTAGTTAGCTAGTTTTAGCGCTGTCACCATCAATTTTTTCCAGATGCTCCTTTTTTTTTTTTTTTTTTTTTTTTTTTTTGAGATGGAGTCTCCCTCTGTTGCCCAGGCTGGAGTGCAGTGGCGCGATCTCAGCTCACTACAAGCTCCGCCTCCCGGGTTCACGCCATTCTCCTGCCTCAGCCTCCCGAGTCCTTTATTTTTAAAAACACTTTTTAACCTCATGCACTGTATTTTAACAAAATTTGTTCCTTATTTTACCGCTATATTTCATGATTTATGGTCATGAATCCTATAAAGTTCCCTAAAAGCTCATCTCTATAATCTGGAATATCTAAGTATCAATTTTCTAGAAGCTCATATGTGTAAATATTTATATGCATCCAGAAGTATATATGAATGCATGAGATATTACTCTGAACATATATGTGTTCATATGTGTTTTTATATTTATTTTTCCATGCACAAGCCTTTTAAAAATCCCTTTTAAATTCAACCCTGACTTTTTATTTTTATGATTGTAAATTATTCGAAAGGGAAGAAACATGACCATTCTTTGAAAGTATTGCTTTAAAACAGCAGGCTGAAAAAAATTAAGAGAAAACATTCATTTTTTTTTTTTTTACAAAATACACTGAGAAAATAATCAGCTCCAAATGTTTATTGTAAGTGGCAATTATAATAGAGTGTGAGGTTCTTTCCATTGCAAAGTCTTTTTTTTTTTCCTTGTTGAATCATAATTTATGAGAGCTGAAGGACTCTTTCTTCCTGGGACTTCAGAGCATTTGTGAACTTGATAATTATGTCCTAGAGTGAACTCAGGAATCCAAGGAAGCATGTGGATAATTTGCTACTATTTGTTGACGTCTTACCCAACAAATGGAAGGGTGTGTGTATGAACCATCTCCACCTGAATTATGAATGACCATGAGAGCCATAGGCAGGTCATCAATATGAATGAGCAGGTAATGTCTAACAATATCAGCAGAGCGGGTTTGCGGTATAAGATTAACATGAGGAGCTTCTTTAAATTCTCTTTTGAAAATAATATTGCTGATGTTTCCTGTTCTGGGATACTGACCATATGCTCATGAACAAGCTGGCTTTGTGTTAATGATCTGTGAACTTCTTGGCCATGACGGGAAGTCTGCTTCTTGGATGATCTGAGGAGGAAGAAGTACCCGTAGGAATAGGGAGACCAGGAGGATGTGAAAACTGTGGCTATACACCACAAAGGAAATAATTCATGGCAATTTATTGAGCTATTCTGCAACTCAACATGTGCTCCATTCTGTCTTTGTTGAGCTGTTAGGCTACTGTGTCCATGTAGCTTAAGATGCAAATGTACATTAGTGTACTTTTTAAAAAAATGGTTCAAACTCACTCTGAAACTTTTCCCCTACAAGTCTGCATTTCATGTGCTGTATTTTGATCTGAGCCCTCACATCCCACACAGGTAGTCTGGCAAAAAGGCAGAACAAGGAGTGACTAGTTTTATAAATATCATCCTTCAAGGCAGTTGGAAGAATAACCTACATTATCAAGGCAAAAGGCATATGAAGGATGGTCTTGTCTTTAGTTACAGTTATTTGCTGTTTGTTGAACAAGCCAGCTTGTCCATGAGCATATGGTCAATATCACAGAACAGGAACATGGGCAAATCATGGAGTATAGGATATGGACAGGTGTAAATATTGATGAAAAGTTCAATAATGAATCTCTCCACTACCATTCATTTTCTGATATATTTTGGATATCCTTTGTTATTGTTTGTGGGATTTTATCTTTAGCATAACAATACTGACCTCTTAATAAACCCAAGAGCACAGCACTTTGAATGGAACATGACACAAACTATGCCTCATGTTGGTTGTTGCCTGAGTCCGGGAAGTTTCTCTCTTCTCTCCTCCAATAATCATTTGCTAGAAGAATCCCTTTCTATCGTCTTGTCTAAAATGCTGCTCCTCCCCTGGCTTCCCCAGCACAGGTCTCTCCCTTCTTTCTCGTCTTGCTGTATTTTTTTGTAGCACTTTTCACTGCCTGACATTGCATCATAAACACATTTATTTACATGTTTACTGTCTAGAGGCAGTTCCTTGAACAGGGGGCTTTTTCCCTCTTGTTCTTTGCTGAATTTCCTAAACATAGAAGAGTTAGTTTACTGCTCAATGTGTGGTTTTTCTTTTTAAAGAAATCCTGCATTGAATAAATAATTGAGTCCCATGAACTACAAAGAACCCCTACTTTAAAGCTATTTAAAATAAAATCCTTATTCCATGGACTATCCATTCAGCTGACATTTGTTGTAATCTGAAGAAGTGTCTGATTTACCTCAGTATTTTTAAACAGAAAGCAATAATCTTCTCCTTGTTAAAAATCCTCACTAAAAGCCATCAGGTTAAATGTTCAAGCCAGGTGTGGCGGCGCACGACTGTAATCCCAGCACTTTGAAAGGCTGAGGCGGATGGATCGCATGAGCACAGGAGTTCAAGACCAGCCTGGACAACATGGCAGAAACCCCTCTCTACAAAAAATACAAAAATTAGGCATGGTGGCACATGCCTGTGGCCCCAGCTACTTGGCAGGCTGAGGTGGGAGGATTGCTTGAGCCCAGGAAGTCGAGGCTACATTGAGCCATGATCATCACACTATTGCACTCCAGCCTGGGTGACAGAGTGAGACCCTGTCTCAAAAAAAAAAAAAAAAAAAAATTTCTACTGCCTGTTATTTAGGCTTCTAAATCTCAGCAGCCTCTTTGTTAACCCTCTAATATCACTAATCGATTTTTTCTCTTCATTTATTTATGGCATTTGATCATTATCTTCCCTACATTAATCCTGAAATTTTAAAAACACTCAGGCAAAAGGGGGAAAATTTACATTTTAGAGCTCAAGCTAATTTGGGATTTAGTGTTTTTTCTTTAAGTCAATTTCCTGAAATCAGTCCTAGAATCTTCTTTCTACTACATTTTCCCTCCAATATGGTCTTGTGAATTATCAACAAGAATGAAAATCCATAGGTATCTTATCAACAAATCCTAGTGATCTATCTGGCACACTGAAAACTGGAGGAGTTAATTAAAGGACTCTGAGTAGATGAATCCACCCATCCATCCATCCATCCATCCATCCACCCATCCACCCACCCACCCACCCACCCACCCACCCATCCATCCATCCATTATGCTATCCCAAGTCTGGGGTATTCAACAGAGATAAAGTGATTAAAACACAATGCCCCAAAGATGACACTCCCAGGTTTGCTTTAAAGACTGCTTGGCTGCAAGATTCCTAGAACTGCCAGATGAGATTTGAACTCTAAGTATACAGAGTCATTTTGAAAAAAAGGATTAAACATCTTAAGCAGAAAGGCATATCATGCAGACAATCTGCATACACAGCTGGTAAAGAAGAAACAGCCATTGAGAACACAAGCCAGACAGAAATCTCAAGTTGAACATATGCCCAGGTCCAACCATGCTAGCTAACACCGTTTTGGCAATAAACAAATAAAGTGGGCAGTCAGCATTCTTTAGGACACGGAACGTGAATTTTGAACAGCAACTGACACCTTATGGCCTAAAATAAGGAACCAATCAATTCTGCAAAATATCTTAAATCAGAAATGTTCTAAAACACAGAAGATCAGTAGAATTCCACGCTTTTGACTTGCTGTCACATCAAGACACCTGTAAGGCTGACAAAAATCTTTACCTACCCCCGAAGCTTTTTCCTTGCAACCCTGTAAGTTATCAATGGTGTTTTGAGCCTACCTGCACTCCTGTCTACGATAGAAAAGCACTTGAGCTAATGTCAGTTTCAAGGAATAAAAGTTGCTTACTGTTCCGGCAAGGAGAGAACTCGGCATAGGCGCTGAAGTTCTGAATTGCTACATAGCAGGTGCCAACTGGGTCCTTTTCTGGTGTCGGTTTAAGAGTTCTCCAGTGATATAAAGGAGCACAGGCCTAGGAAACATCAAAGACAAAAAAATACATTTTTGATGTAGGTTTCTCATACTACAGTTTTATTTGAATTATTGGTATAACAAACTGTTAAATTATTGGGTGAATTAATTGGCCTCTAGCATGCTAATGAGTGCCTTGGTCATCAGAGGTAATTAAACTTCCAAAACTAATTTTTAATGTTAACACACTGTAGAATTGGTGAAAATTAAATACATGCAAAAAAAAATGAGTTTTCTGACAATAGTTTTTTTTTTTTGGAGACAAGGTCTTGCTCTGTCACCCAGGCTGGAGTGCAGAGGCATGATCACAGCTCACTGTAGCCGCAACCTCCTGGGCTCAAGTGATCCTCATGCCTGAGCCTCCCAAGTAGCTGGGACCACAGGCACACACCACCATGCCTGGCTAATTTGTTTTGTTTTGTTTTTTGTAGAGACAGAATCTTATTATGTTGCTCCAACTGGTCTCAATCTCCTGGGCTTAAGTGATCCTCTTGTCTCAGCCTCCTCAAGTGCTGGAAATATAGGGAAGAGCCACAGCACCTAGGCCCCATAGAAATTAAATTTTTTTTTTTTGCCCGAAGAAGCAAGCAGAAATTAATTCCTAAAAGCGAATAACTCATATTTCTTTTCTTTTTAATTGGACCTACATAAAAGCAAATGATCATGTAAACAGTGAATTAATCAGTGTGATGTCTTATGAGAACAAGTTCCTTTCTGTGTCTAATTATTGCTTTTAAAAGATGACTTTCAAATTAAAGGATGCAAACAAGCTAGTAAACCTCTGTTTTGTGACGCCCCCTAGTTTATCACGGAAGCCGCATCTTATGACTTTTAAACAATGACTTTCATCTGGACGCACTTCTCCATTTTCACAGTGTTTTTGGCTTGGTTTTTCACTTCATGGTTTTTATTCATGGCAAAACTGAAAGTAGAAGCATCTTATGCCTGTTTTAGCAATTTTATCAGGGATGATCACAAAGTCAGTAAGAGAGCATGTTCATGAGCTACAAGCATTTCCAAGGCATTAAACACCACAGGTGAGGCAATTCAAGTCTCTGGCCCTCCTTGTTATGGAGAAATTTATCGAGATAAACTCCAGTGCCCTCAGACAATCTTTTTGAGAAAGGAGAGTTATCCAAATTATTTCATAAATGCCCTCTCCATTCTAAGGCGGCAAATAACCAAAGGGTTAGAAACAAAATGTCCTATGCTTATTTCCAGCTAACATATAGAGTGGTAAATTAAATAATGTTGCGTACTGTACAAATATTTGCTCATACTTTGGAACCTTTTTTGGAATTGATTTAACTGCCCACAGGACTTATATATGAAGGTTTGCATATAAAACTTGATTAATAGATGTATAACATGTTGAATTAAATGCATGCCTATCAGATAGAAGTTGAAACATAATTTTACAATACCAAATGATTATGCATTTGTTGTTATATATTTGCTTTTATGATTTATAATTTGTCATATCAGAAACTGATTTGATGCCTCATCCATGCCTTTTCATTTTCAGAATGTTGCTTTAGAGAAAATAAGACATACTTTATGTCATTGCCTATGACCCCTTTTTAGAATTACATTATGGTAAAAAGAGGGAACTGCTTCTGAATTAGTTTGCCTAATATCAGAAACATTATCGGCAAAAATAAATTGAAACAACAGCAAGAAAAACATGAAATGATCTGGCTGCTTTTTTAGAAGTTTAGATTCTCACAAGAGCACTGTATGGAAATCTTCTTCAAGTAAATGAAATAACGAGAAATCCTCGTCAAGTAAATGAAATAACATTTTGTTAGGAATGAGAGAGGAAATAAATGCATATAAAACATTAGCTTGGTTTGGACTTCTGTTTTTCTTGCCTGAACCTTCTGTAAATATTGTACCTGATTCTCCAAATACTCATCTCTAAAGACAGAATCGTAGAACACAGAGCTGCTAGCCTGCCTTCTAATTTGATAGTATGGTATCACACTTAATTCCAGAGAAGTGAAAAAAGATTCCAATTTGAAAGTAGTCTATGCTTCCAAATCTGTCCTTGGTAATTTGGCCCAATGTATAACTATTTTTAGTAAAGATAACTCCTAGTCTCAAATAAATTACCCTTCTACAACTTCAGTTGTTTGGTTTTGCCTCTCTATATATTGTAAAGTCTTGGCCAATACCCCAAAACTCTCTAACTCTTCTAGGTTCCCCAAGTTATCTGGTTCATAAATTCAGCATAAGGTGCAGATGCGAAAGCACAGGGAAGTCTACATCATGAAGCATTCACTTGTGTAGCTTGATCTTCTCCAACTGGCCTCACCTTCTGTTTCATCAAAAGGCATTTCATGCCATGAAAATTCTTTCTAGTGTTTGCCTGATATTAGCTCTAAAAAGTTACTCTTTCAATCTGCTCAGTTTCACATTGATGTGAAACATACTGATGGGACATATTTAGGCTTTGACCCAAACCCGCTATGTATACCCATGGTACCTGGATATACAAAAATGATACTTCTGGAGGTAGGATTTTGCAGTTATAAAATTATACCATATAGGAAAGAATTTAAATGTTCATTCTGCTAAGTTTCAGCACTCAAAAAATTTAGCTTGAAATATACTCTGTATTATCCTATTTCCCATCACGTATTTTAGAAAATGCAGGCATGCCAAAAATTAATCATTTTTTATTATGAACACGGTGTATTATTGTAGTTTCCATTGTTTTGAGGGTTTCTACAGTTATTGAATAAATATGCAACTATTATATGTTACAGCTAAAATTTCAAGACACACAAAAAAATCAAAACAGTATCCAAAAGATTTTTAAAGCCCCAAACAGTTATTACAGAGTTAATTTTTCAACAGCAATTCCCATAAGGCATATACCACCTTAAAAAGTTCTTACAAATTCTGGAATGTGAAAATTATATTAATGCAAAGACAACTCTACAAAAACTATATTGTGAATGTTGGATTTCTTAACTGGAGAGGGCTGTATACTCTTTATACCTTACCTGTTTTATGTCAAAATCTTTTTGGGGTTAACAGACTAAATAAAGTAAGGCATTTCCTTTAGATACTTATTCTTATTAAATCATAATTCAAGTAGATTTCAACAAATCCTAAAAGCCAAAGTTATTGCTTTATTGTTGTAAGGAAATTAAAGCCAATAGGTTGAAAAAATCCCCAAACTAAAAAAGACTTCCAGATTACTTCAATAGTCATTTTCTTCTCGGTAACTTAGACATGTATCATTGCTCAGAACAATAAAATAATAGAATTATTAAGTCATAGCACTTTGAAGCTGAAAGATTATCTATTTGAGAATGAGTGTTTTTACTTTAAAAAGTATTAATGAACTCAGAGAATCATGCAGTTAGCCGTTTAAAAATTATTATGAAAGACAGCTTTCCTTTCGGTGTAAAAAGGATCAATGAAACCACAGCAGATTAACTTAGCATCCTTATGGGAATAGTCCCATTTTTCTGGTCAGATTTTAAGTAGCCCCTAAGTCAGTCTTAAGCACTATAATATTTTACCACTTTAAGATGTAGCTTTTACTTTTCTTAGTTGTTTTTGAAATATTTGAAAATATTTAACTGCTCTTCTGGAAAACAGGCTTTATTTCCTATAGCTTTAAACACTAAAATACATTCTTTAATTTTAAGCATTTAGTTGCTTTTAAAATGCCAACAGCCTTATCGTTGAAAGTCTAACATGTTCCTTTAGGAAAGAGCTTTCCTAAACATGAGCTTGAAAACATTCCAGTGCACACCATACTCCAAAGCAGCAGCACAAGCCCACGGCTCATACTCACCACAACTTTTCCTTTGTGAGCTTTCACTGTTGCTCCAAACCACTGATTGGATTTGAACTCGATAGGTTCTTTGGTTCCATTAACTCTGATCTTTCTGTTGTCTGTCAAAGAAGATAGGAAGAGTTAATAATTTGTAAAATGTGGCAGCCAATTAAAACACATAATAAATTTGTACATTAAAAATACTTGAACTAATACCAATCCTTGTCAAACTCCTCCAAAAAAATTGAAAAGAGGCTGGGTATGGTGGCTCATGCCTGTAATTCCAGCACTTTGGGAAGCTGAAGCGGGACGATCACTTGAGAACAGAAGTTCAATATCAGCCTGGGCAACATGGTGAAACCCTGTCTCTACCAAAAAATACCAAAAAAAAAAAAAAAAAAAAATGCTGGGCGTGGTGGCTTATGCCTGTAGTCCCAGCTACTTGGGAGGCTGAGATGAGAAAATCACTTGAACCCAGGAGGTGGAGGTTGCAGTGAACTGAGATTGTGCTGCTACACTCCAGCCTGGGCGACAAAGTAAGACTCTGTCTCAAAAAAATAAAAGAGAAGGAAATAATCCAAGGGCCAGCATTATCCTGATACCAAAGCCAGACAAGGGCATTACAAGAAAAGAAAATTACAGGCTAATATCCTTGATAAACATAAGTGCAAAAATCTTCAACAAAATACTAGCAACTCAAATCCAACAGCATGTTAAAAGTATCATTGATCATGTTCAAGTGGGATTTATCCCTGGAATGCAAGGATAGGTCAACATAGCAAATCAATACACGTGCTACCCCACATTAATGAGATGAAGGGCAAAAACCATATGATCATCTTAATAGATGCAGAGAAAGCCTTTGACAAAATTCAATTTACTTTCAACATAAAAACTCTTTAAAAGTTAGTTATAGAGGGAATGTACCTACACACAGTGAAAGCCATACATCACAAGCCCACAGCTAACATTACACTTAGCAGTGAAAAGTTGAAATCTTTTCCTCTAAGATCAGGAACAAATGCTCACTCTCCCCACTTCCATTCAACATAGAACTTTTAAGTCCTAACCAGAGCAGTTGGGCAAGAAAAAGAAATAAAAGACATCCAAATCAGAAAAGAAGGTAAATCGTCCCTGTTTGCAGATGACATAGTCTTATATATAGAATGCCCTAAAGATTTCACCAAGAAACTATTTGAAAATGATAAACAAATCCAGTAAAATGGCAGGACACAAAATCAACATACAAAAACCCCATTTACAATAGCATTTAAAAAGTACTTAGGACAGATGGCATCAGCCAGATGGCAGACTAGAGGGGCCTAACACTTGCTCCCTTACAAAAAAGGACCAAAACAATAACAGACAACTACATTGCAACCAGACTAACTTAAGGAGATCGCTGGAGAACAGCAAGGGAGTGGCAAAAACCCTGTGAGAATAGAAACTCCGGATGGCCGCAGAGAGAAGTGATCCACCCTCTCGCCTCCACCATTTCATCTCCTAAGCCAGGATGAACTCAGAACCAGGAAGGAAAAGATGAGCAGGAGGCCTCCTGAGCCCCATCACTGTCGTGGACACCTGCAGTCTTTGCTTCGGGAGAATTCTGCAGTCCTCACAAGCCCTGAGCCCAGCTGGGGAGCTACCTGCATTTCACACAGCAGCACAACTCCAGAGACGGAGCTCACTTTGTACCCCACTCCTGTGACCAGAGCAGCTACTGCACTGAGCCATCTGGAAACAGGAGCCACTGCTAGAGTGCATCCCGCTCTGGGGGCCACTAGCCACTGCATCCCTCCATCCTTGAGGTTCTGCCATCATTCACTATCCTCACACAGACACACAGCGTGCACCAATCCCCAGCCAACCTGCTGCAGCTCCCTACGCTCTGGGCCCTTCATCTGCCCATCCCAGTTGCCACTGTGCCCTGCTGCCAGCTACTCAGAGTGTGGGCCCAGCAGAAAAGCTGAATCCAAACCCACAGAGGAGCTGCACCCCTTCGGCGCCAGAACCAACTCATACAATGGAGGGCTGAGCTCCAGCACTTAAGGGAGCTTTGGTCCCAGGGAATTGATGCTTTGGTGCAGAGGGGCAGCTGTGACTCTGCACTCGAGCCCGTGCTTTGCCCACCCTCTCCGGGAAACTTAGCTTTCTCTGAGCTGTACTACCCAACTATTGGGCCAAATGGCAGCAGCACCCACCTCCCTTAAGTGCTGGAGCTCAGACCTCCATTGCATGAGCTGCTGAGGCTCCCCACCTCCCTGGGGAGTGAAGCCAACATTCGCACCCGGCCTCACAGAGCCTGGTCCACTGCTGTGTCCAGCACTCCAGGGTTCAAAGTCAACATTGTGGTATTTTTTCTCATATGCCCTGTTGGCTCCAGAACCTGAATTGCAGCTGTGCCCTACTTTCCAGGGCCTGAGCCTCTGAAATACCTCTTCCTCTGCAGAGCCATGCCAGCGCTGCACCCTCACACCCAGGATCACTGTCATAGCTCCATCCCTGCCTCCTGGGCCTCGGCTACAGGTGAGTGCTGCAGTCACAGCCCTTGGCTTGGTGGGAGAGCTGCATCTACCCACACCTGAAGAGTGAACCTGTGCCCTCGTCACAGGGGCTACAGTAGTTCAAAAACAGGACCCCAGTTCCACAGCCACTCTGAGCACCTGTGCCTGAAACATAGCACCCCGTGGCTGCCTGCAGTCCATGTTGGACCCAACACAAAGAGGGATCTCCTTGGCTATGTCTTCTCACTGTAGGAAAAATGAAAACAGAAAGATTTCTGAAACTCTTGCTATCAAAAAGCCTAACAACTTACTTTGCCACCACCGTGTCCACAAATCCTGCTGTCATCACTGATGTTAATCACAGCTGAAGAAGCTTCAGAGAAACTATACTACTGCACCCACCTAGAACCAGAGCCAATGCACGCTACCCAACCAATCCCCTAAAAAGCTTTTGCACAGCCAAGGAAACAACCAACAAAGTGAAGAGGCAACCTATGAATGGGAGAAAATATTTGCAAACTATACGTACATAAGGGGCTAACATCTAAAATACATAAGGAACTCAACAGCAAGAAAACAAATCACCTGATTAAAAATTAGTCAAAGGGCCTGGACAGATATTTTATGAAAGAAGGCATACAAACGGCCAACAGGTATATGTGAAAAAATGCTTAACATCCCTAATCATCAGGGATATGCAAATTAAACCTCTGTAAGACATCACTTGACCCGTGTTAGCAGGGCTATTATCAAAAAGACAAAAGATAACAAGTGTTGTGGAGGATATGAAGAAAGGGACCCCTAGCATACTCCTGGTGGGAATATAAATTAGTACAGATGTTATGAAAAACATTAAAGGAAGTTCCTCAAAAAATTAAACATAGAGCTACCATATGATCCAGCAATCCCACTACTGGGCATATATCCAAAGGAAAGGAAATCAGCATATTGAAAATATATCTGCACCCCCATGTTCATGGCAGCACTGTTCATAAGAGCCAAGATATGGGATCATCTTAGGTGTCCTTCAACGGATGAATAAAGAAAATGTGGTGTGTATATGATGGAACACAATTTTGCCTTAAAAGAGGAAATCCTCTCATTTGCTACAACATGGATGAACCTGAGGATATCATGCTAAGGCACAAATAATTTTGTGCCTGAAACAAGCCAGACACAAAACCACCGATATTGCATGATCTCCCTTATATGTGGAATCTAAAAAAGTCAGGCTCATAGAAGCAAACAGTAGAATGGTAGTTACCAGAGGCTGGGGAGGGCAGAAGGGATTGGAGAGATGCTTGTCAAAAGGTACAAAGTTTCAGTTGGGATGAGTAAATTATGGAGATTTATTGTACAGAGAGGTGACCAAGAGAATAGATTTTAAACATTCTTAATATACACACACATATACACAAAAGGCAACCATGCTAGGTAATGAATATGTTTATTAGCTTGATTTAATTATTTCCCAATGTATAAATAGATCAAAACATTACATTGTACACGATAAATATATACAATTTTTTTTGAGACAGGGTCTCACTCTGTTACCCAGGCTAGAATGCAGTGGCACGATCACAGTTCACTGCAGCCTCGACTTCTCTGGGCTCAAGTGATCCTCCCATCTCAGCCTCTCAAGTAGCTGGAAATACGGGTGCATGCCACCATGCAGGGCTTTTTTTTCTTGGTAGAGGCAAGGTTTTGCTATGTTGCCCAGGCTGGCCTTGAACTCCTGAACTCAAGCGATCTTCCCACCTTGGCCTCCCAAAGTGCTGGGATTACAGGTATGAGCCACTGTACCCAGCCTTATACAGTTTTTGTCAATTAAAAAAAAAACTTGAGCACCAATTTTCATATAGAGGGGGATTTCTCTTTGTTTAAGTCTAAGAGCATGACTCCCATTAGATAAATATGACATGAAAATATGTATTCAACCATGACATTTCACAACTTAAAAGAAGCATTTTCTTAAGATTTGCATTTCAGAGGTAACTGTTTTGCAAACTTAGTGTAGACTCTGGTATCCTTGAATCTACACTTCAGTTATTGATTTCATATTGAAGACCATATATTTATAACTGCTCTAAATATTTCCAAATCTTTCCCAATAGTGAAACACATGGGATTCTGCCTACTCTGAATAACAGAGGCTTCCCAGCATGTGTTAGCAGGAATCAGCATGAGGGACTCCAAAGTCTTGGTTTTTAACTCAGTAACACATGTCTACACAGCCACAGTAGATAACACCTCAACACAATTGTACATACACTTTGCAGATGTCAGCATGAGTGGGGCCATCTGGGTAGAAACTCAACCCAATTATAACACACTTTAGTTCTTAATAAAAAGCATGCATCTTGGCCAGGTGCAGTGGCTCATGCCGGTAATCCCAGCACTTTGGGAGACCAAGGCAGGTGGATCACTTGAGGCCAGGAGTTTGAGACCAGCCTGACCAATATGGTGAAACTGTGTCTCTACTAAAAATACAAACATTAGCTGGGCGCAGTGATGCACATCTGTAGTCTCATCTACTCAGGAGTTTGAGACATGAGAATTAGTTGAACCTGGAAGTGGAGGTTGCAGTGAGCTGAGATTGTGCCACTGCACTCCAGCCTGGGCAACAAAGTAAGACTCTGTCTCAAAATAAAATAAAATAAAATAAAATAAAGCAAAACATGCATGTTTTCTTTCACTCTTGATTGCACATTCAACTATTTCACACATGGTTCTAATTGCACAGTTTTAACTAGAGCTTTATCAGTAATAGCTAATGAGTTTCAAAAGACATTTGTACTAAGGGCATCTTATTTGTGTGTTTCCTGTGGTTTGCATTTTATTTTTTCTTCCTTGACTTTATAAAAATACATTACAAAATAAACTTTTTATTCCTGTTAAGTGAGGCCAAAATAAACATGTAATTAAACTTTCAATTGAGTTTACTTATGATTACAGACTGTTTAAAGAATAAATTATACATACTCAATCTTAACCTAAAATTTACATTTTGACATGTTAGTAGAAAATCATGAATTTCCCTCTTAAAAATCTTATGCTTTTGATGTTTCCAGATGTTTTTAAAAAACAAGTTCTGGAAATCCTCACCCAAAGTGCACATGACTAACAAAGAATTACAGCATCTTACAGTTTGTAGCTTAAACTGGAAAATATAGACATTTCTATTTATGTCTAGGAAGCTTGGAAGATGATAGAATTTGAAGCTGAAGATTTCTTGCCATCTCTGACTAGGTTACCTTGGGCAATTCATTTAATCTTTTGCAGTTTCGATTTCTTCTATAAAATGAGGCTGAGAATATATTCCCCTTCTCCTGCACAGGTGGTCATAAAGTCACGAAGGTTCCATGAGATAAGTGATCGTGAAAGTTCTTTGTAAATTGGGAAGTCATAAACAGAAATCTTGTAGCAATACAGCTGAAGGTCCATAGGTTTTTTTTCTTTTTAAATCTCTTAATGACAGATAGCTTAAGATAGTTGAAGACAGCGTAAGTCTGTGTTTTGGTATCACAGCTTGGTATCACCAGCTTAAGGTATCCCCCCTTAAGCTGGGATGTTGATGTTGTACTACAGAGATCTTGCAGCGTTACAACTACATGAAGGTCAATGGCTTTAATATATACATATTTTTAAAAATCTATCTATATTATATTTATAATATACCTATATATTATATATCATATATCTATATTATATAGATAATATATCATATATCAGATAATATATCATATATCAGATAATATATCATATATATGATAATATATCATATATATGATAACATATCATATATATGATAATATATCATATATATGATAACATATACATCAGATAATATATCATACATCAGATAATATATCATATATATGATAATATATCATATATATGATAATATATCATATATCAGATAATATATCATATATCAGATAATATATCATATATGATAATATATCACATATCAGATAATATATCATATATCAGATAATATATCATATATATGATATATCTTACATTTATATTTATAATACATCTATTATATATAAAATATATCTATAATATATAAAAATGTATCTAATATATTATAGATTTATAATATATAAAAATGTATCTAATATATTATAGAGTTATAATATATAAAATATATAAAATATATAAAATGGATATATAATATAGTAAATATATTTTATTTATTAATATATTTATATAATATATTTTAATATATATTATATCTATATTTGTCGACATATATATATATATATATATATATGTCGACATATGTATTTCTCTCTTAGGAACCTAGAAATTCAACCTAAGTCCAAGAATTCAAAAGAACCCCCCAGACACAAAAGTATAATATGTTGTTAGTAGTGACTTGTGGCACTCAGGAATGAACTTATGACACCTCACAACATTGTCAATGTGGCTTAGATTAAACACAGGGAGAAAGTGCTAGAGTAGTCTTAAAATTACTAACCACGAAAAGGAGACCAGTGCCTCAAAAATTCAAACAGAGTTAAAGGAGATCGCAGAAGGACTTCAGAAGAGCAGACTTCAGTGAGGAAGGAAATGAATTCTAGGGGAAAAAATAAGCCAGCTCTGAACGGGACCTTCCTTTGCTAGTTAAAGTTATGTAATTCTGCCTGTGTGATTCCCAAGATATCCTTTCTGCCATTATAGGATGAACTGTGTAATAACTTGATTGCAAGTGTCAACTGGGCAATTTGGCAGTAATATTTTTCTTCTGGACCAAGGGTACAAATGAACGGGCTTCATTAATTTCATATCCAATCCAGGGATTATAACAGAGCAGAATTGCACTGTCCCAGGTCTCTATGTACTGAGACGAGTTTTTAATCTGGTGTGTCCTCCTCTCATTGACCTTTGAAGTCAACAAATCACCTTTCTAAAATTCTGTTTTATTATTTCAATAAATTATCTGACTTTGAACCTAACATTGTAATTGAATAAAATTTCAAATAAGTAAGATATATATGGGTTGACTCTGAAGGTGCGCTTTCCCTAATTTCTTATTTCTCTTTTCTAAGCAAGGTTCTTTCATGCCAAATAAGCTGACACACTGCTCAGTACTATGTCAACCTAGTGCTCAATGAAACTATGATGCATGGAGGATGTTTTTGATTTAATTTGATCTGACCTTTAGTGAAAACTACTTCCAAGTAATGTCTGTCAATACTCAGCACTGTGTTAGCCCTTCCAGTCTCTTCTCTTTATGGCAAGGACTGAAAGTATGGAAAATACATTTCCTAGACTTTCTAATGAGCAGGATTCTGAATGAATGAGAGGCTCAGGAGAGATTTGAGAACAGGGAAAGAAAGAGAAGCCATGGTTTTCTGGTGACAGCCTCAGGAAGCATGTGGACATCAGCGGTGACAGATGTGATGTTCTTCCAGCAGCTCCCACATATCCTCCTGACAATCACCTCTTTAGTCCTTTGGACAGCAGAGATCAAGTCCTGTGATCCCTGAACTTCCAAATTCCTTGATCTGCAGGTAGCAACTTTCCAGACTTTCACACCCTATCCTTGCCAACGTCCATGAAAGCCTGCCAGACTCTGCGTGAAATTCCTTCCTAGTTGTAATACTCAATGTGCTTTCTGTTTTCCTAACCAAACCTGCTGACTGACATGGGACAACGCATTTAGGGTAGGGCCGCCTGTCGTCTGAAGCAGAAGGAAGGCATCGGGTTACCCCGGGAGGACTGTCAACCCCACAGAACGCAAAAGGACCAGTGGTTCCGGGAGAGGATGGAGCCCGTTAGTTACCTAAGCGAGCCTCTCAGCATATCACAAACTACGGAGAAAGCAAAGGCAAAAGCTCAGAAAAGCTTTTATAGTGACTGCATACAATGTCAAGTTTTCTAAGTGGCAGAAGGTGATTAACAAAACTAATAAACGAAAACCAAAGTGAAAATTTTTCAAGAATAGGAGGAATATATGTAATATGTAAGAGTCCCCAAATCAATGAGAAAAAGACTAAAATTCAATAGAAAAAAATTTCTAAGGATCCGAACAGGCATTACAGGTAAAAATAAATTAGCCTGAAAATTCAGAGAGACAACCTGAGCCTCAAATTAAAGCAGTAATAACTTACCACTTGTCACTTACCAATCTGGCTCCAAATTAATAACATTTGCTCTACTTCAAGACAATAATTTCATGCTGAAGTTTGGAACAGCCATTTGGCACCACATATCCTAATTTTATATGTATATTTCCTTCTGATCAAAAAATTGTTTCAGTATTTTGTTCAGTAGAAATAATAACACAGTGGCTCATGCCTGTAATCCCAGCACTTTGGGAGACCAAGGCAGGAGGATCGCTTGAGGCAGGAGTTCAAGGCTACAGTAAGCTACGATAGTGCCACCGCACTCCAGCCTGGACAACATGGCAAAACCCTAACTCTTACCAAAAAAAAAAAAAAAAAAAAAATTAGCCAGGCATAGTAGCCCATGCCTGAGGTGGGAGGATCAGTTGAGCCTGAGAGGTAGAGTCTGAAGTAAGCCAGGATCGTGCCACTGTACTCTAGTCTAAGTGACAGAGTAAGAGTATTCTGTCTCTAAAGTCTCAGAGTAAGTACTCTCTTGTCTCTAAAACACACACACACACACACACAAGAAATAGTATGAAAATATTGCTACACTGTGACACCAAAAACTGGAGCAACTTAAATGTTTATAAATAAGGGACTCAAAAAGAAACATCTGCTATCTATAAGATAGACTAAGATTCAACTGTTATACACATATGATTTGTATGCACTGATACAGAAAAATGTTTACACAATACATGTATTTTTAGCTTTTCTGAGGTTTTTTAAAAGTACAGAGAAATATAAGGACTTTAATACATGAAACACAGGTATTCTCACCAGGAAGAATCAATAATTGTGAAGAATGGACAATGTTTTTAAATTGCGATTCACAAACATTACGGCACGTTTTGACACCTGTCCCCCATTCCATTCCTCTTCCCTCCTCCCCGTCCAGAGGTTGCCACCATCAGGAATTAAATGTATGTGTTTCTGGCCATTTGAAAAATAATGTCATGAATAATACAGGGCTGTGGTCTACAGTGCTTTTCCTGTAAAGGACTAGATAAATGTCTTAGGCTTTGCAAACTGTATAATCTTTGTCACAGCTACTCAATTCTGCCCTGTAACAAAAGCAGCCCATAGACAGTATGTTAAATAATGGGCTTGGGCTTGGCTGTGTTCCAATAGAATTTCATATAGGAACATGGAAATCAAATTTTATATAACTTTTATGTGTCATGAAATATTATTCTTTAAAAACATATATCCAGCCATTTAAAAATATAAAAACTACTCTCAGCATATAGGCTGTGCACACACAGATGGTGGGCCAGTTTTAGTTGTAGTTTGCCGACAGTTGATAGAGTAGTCTTTGGTGCAGTCTTGTGAAGTAAAGAAAAATGGTATTATATTTTCTTCTTAAATTTATTTTTTATTTCAATAGGTTTTAGGGGAACAGGTGGTGTTTGGTTACATGAGTAAGTTCTTCAGTGGCGATTTCTGAGATTTTGGTGCACCCATCACCCAAGCAGCGTACACTGTACCCAATGTGTAGTCTTTTATCCCTCACCCCTTTCCCACCCTTTCTCCCAGGTCCCCAAAGTCCATTGTGTCATTCTTATGCCTTTGCATCCTCATAGCTTAGCTCCCACTTATCAGTGAGAACATACAATGTTTGGTTTTCCATTTCTGACTTACTTCACTCAGAATAATGGTCTCCAATTCCATCCAGGTTGCTGAGAATGCCATTATTTCATTCATTTTTATGGCTGAGTAGTATTCCGTGGTGTATAAATATACCATACTTTCTTGATCCACTCGTTGATTGATGGGCATTTGGGCTGGTTCCATATTTTTGAAATTGCAAGTTGTGCTGCTATAAACACACATATGCTAGTATCTTTTTCATATAATGACTTCTTTTCATCTGGGTAGATACCTAGTACTGGGATTGCTGGATCAAATGGTAGATCTTCTTTTATTTCTTTCAGGAATCTCTACACTGTTTTCCATAGTGGTTGTACTAGTTTACATTCCCACCAACAGTGTAAAAGTGTTCCCTTTTCACAACATCCACACCAACATCTATTTTTTTAAAATTTTTTAATTATAGCCATTCTTGCAGGAGTGAGGTGGTATCACATCGTGGTTTTGATTTGCATTTCCCTGATCATTAGCGATGTTGAACATTTTTACCTATGCTTCTTGGCCATTTGTATATCTTCTTTTGAGAATTGTCTGTTCATGTCCTTAGCCCACTTTTTGATGGGATTGTTTTCTTCTTGCTGATTTGTTTGAGTTCTTTGTAGATTCTGGATATTATTAGTCCTTTGTCAGATGTATAGATTGTGAAGATGTTCTCCCGCTCTGTGGGTTTTCTGTTAACTCTGGCAATTATTTATTTTGCTGTGCAGAGTCTTTTCAGTTTAATTAAGTCCCAGATATCTATCTTTGTTTTGGTTGCATTTGCTTTTGGGTTCTTGATTATAAAGTCTTTGCCTAAGAAAACATGGCATTTGGCTAGGCACAGTGGCTCATGCCTGTAATCCCAGCATATTGGGAGTCCAGGAGGCAGATCACCTGAGGTCAGGAGTTCGAAACGAGCATGGCCAACATGGTGAAACCTCACCTCTACTAAAAATACAAAAAGTAGTTGGGTGTGGTGGCACATGCCTGTAGTCTCAGCTACTCAGGAGGCTGAGGCAGGAGAATTGCTTGAACCTGGGAAGCAGAGGTTGCAGTGAGCTAAGATTACACCACTGTACTCTAGCCTGGGAGACAGAGTGAGACTGCATCTCAAAAACAAACAAACAAAAAAACAAAAACATGGCATTATATTTTCTGTACTTAGCAGTTTGTACTTGTGTTTTACCCTCAGTTTTATGTTTGTGAGAAATATTCATGAATAGATAGATGACTAGCTAGCTAGATACATAGATATATAGAAACATAGATGAGTGAATGTATAGAAAAACAGATGATAGATAGATACATACATACATAGATCAGTCTAGCTCATTCTTTTTAACTCCTGTATAGCATTGCATCCGATTGAGTAATAGTCTACATTTTATTTATCCATTCCGTTTACATATGAACATTTGTGGGTTTTTTTCCAGTTTTCCCACTTCTACTCTGAGCTCTGAACATTCATATATCCACCTCCATGTGCCTATGTACAAGGGTTTCTCTCCAGCACCCAAACTAGGAATGACATTGCTGGGTCATAGAGAATGATCATATTCTTTTGATTAGACATGGCAACTGATCTCCAAAGTAGCTACAATTTTATGCCCACTAGCAGTGGAGGAGTGAGGGATTCTCAACTTTTGTTATTACAGGAGGACTTTTAAATATTTTCCAGTCTAGATGACCATGGAATGGTACCTCATTTTGTTTTCATTTGCATTTTCCTGACTTTTAGTAAGGCTGATCATCCTTTCCTGTTTGTGGACCATTCACTTTTTTCTTTCTGTGAAGTGCCAGTTTATATTCTTTGCTCATTCTCTTGTTTAGTTATTAGTTTCATTGATTCATAATTCATATATTTTTGCCTACTGATTCTCTTTCCCACATAAATGTGGCAAGTATCATCTTCCAATATTTTTCTAGTCTTTCAACTCTGTTAATTGGGATTATTGTCCATCTGGAATTTATTCTTGTTTATACAGTGGCAGAGATACTTTTCTTATTTCAATATGAAAAGCCACTTGCCCCCACAGCACTTACTGAGCAATCCATTTCTTCCCGGTGATTTATAGTTCCACCTCTGCAATAATAAAACCTGACTTGGCCCAAGGGACCAACATTGTCTGGCCCCTGATTGCTTCTCCAATCTCAGCATCTCCTGCCTCCCCATGCTCCTCAACCTGCAGACACACCAACTTCCTGTCCTGTGAACACACCCAGCATTTTCAGTCTTGCCATTGCATTTCCTCTTCCTGGAATGCTCTTCCCACAGTGCTTCACTTGGCTGCCTTCTTCTCATTACTCAGATGAGAGTATTGTATGCTATCGCAGTAAACATGCAAATAAGATGTCGCATGCAGTAAACATGCAGCCAAACCAAAGATAGATAGCTGGGACTTAATTAAACTGAAAAGCTTCTGCACAGCAGAAGAAATAATCAGCAGAATTAACAGAAAACCCACAGAGCGGGAGAAAATCTTCACAATCTATATATCCAACAAAGGACTAATATCCAGAATCTACAAAGAACTCGAACAAATCAGCAAGAAAAAAACAAACAATCCCATCAAAAAGTGGGCTGAGGACATGAATAGTTCCAGTACCACATCCTCAGAGACACAAGCCCTAAGCCACCAGTTCTGTCTACTCATTGTCATTCACTCTCCCATTACCCCTTTACATTGTCTTCATAGTGCTTACCACTATCTGAGATGATCGTATTGGCATGTTTACTGCAATAGTATACAATACTATATAGGAGTTAAAAATCTATGTTTTTATATAGGTATTATCTACCCTTTGAGAATATACATAGATTCCACAGAGATGTTGTCTGCTTCACCTCTGCATTTTCCAGTGCCAAAAACATAGTAGATCATCAGTGTTTGATGAATGAATAACCAAGTTCCCATCTATTCATTCAAAAATTTGTCAAGGGTACATTGTTCAGTATGATCCCACTTTTCTTTAAAAGTCAAATATTCTATGCATGGATGTGTATGTGTGATTGTGATTGTGCTTGTGTGTGTATGTATTGACACTAACCTATGAGTGATGGTTATCTTGAAAGCAAGGAATATACAGGTGTCATTGGCTTTTATATTTTCATGGAGTATATTTCTGAATCGTTTGAGCCTTTACCATGAGTATTAGTACATCTGTGATCTGAAAAGGGGAAAACCTAAAGATAAACTGAAAAGATGTATAAGTCAACCCGGGAACTTTAGATGGGTGGTATCAATACAATTGATTTGACTCATCCTCCATTTCTGGCCTTTGAAGCTATCTCTCTGAAATTGGCAGCTTTTGGTTCTTTTTTTTTTCTTCATGGGAATATGCATTTCAGAGCAGGAGTGAGGGGATGTGGAATATGGTGGACACGTGGGCTGTAAGCAGATTTTTCTAATCTTTTAGCCTAGTGAAATGAGAGGAATTACACGAAGTGAGGAGAGATCGCCCTGGGACAGAAGAGAAGAGTTGTAACTCACACAGGTGTGACCAAACATTTTGGCAGACAGGATAATTTTTGAAAACTATTTATAAAGCCCCTGACCCAGTAGAGAAAACAGTAGGTTTCCCTACAACCTTCAGTCATCACTTTAAGTTTGTCTCCTTGGAGATTTTCTTAAAGCTGTTGCAGGAGCTATCCAGACCTTTTTAATCATGAAAAGGGTAGAAGAAATCCTTAACCATTTGTTTATAATCTTTATCATAGTCAAATTTATGCTATAAAAGTTTCTAATTGGAATGATGCATCTGAGAACAGGGAATACTCGTATGTATAATTCAAAATAAAACAGCCTTGGCCAGAGAACTCCTTGTCTACAAGAAACAAATCCAAGAAAAGGACCTGGATTGATTTTTATATCACAGAAAATTAAACTTCCAAATGTATGGCTCCCAATACTCCAAAACCACTCTGAAAAACCTTTAAAGAATATCACAGTTTTCCTTACGATGTTCGAGAGATGTGTTATTTTGATTAAATGAGTATTTTATGATCTATATCACGTATGCATACTATATACAAATATGTGCATGCTTACACGCACATTAAATAATTTTCTTATCTTTACCTGATAGATCAAATATAAATACCCTGCCCTCCACACCTGAAGATTTTTTTTTTTTTTGAGATGGAGTTTCATTCTTATCGCCCAGGCTAGAGTACAATGGCACTATCTTGGCTCACTGCAACCTCCGCCTCCCGGATTCAAGCGATTCTCCTGCCTCAGCCTCCCGAGTACCTGGGATTACAGGTGGCCCCCACTGTGCCCAGCTAATTTTTGTATTTTTGATAGAGATGGGGTTTCACCATGTTGGTCAGGCTAGTCTCGAACTCCTGACCTCAGGTGATTCACCCACCTCGGCCTCCCAAAGTGCTGGGATTATAGGCGTGAGCCACCGCGCGTGGCCCACGTGAAGATCTTGACCCCACAGCCTGAGCTCTAGGTATTGGTTGGGCTTCCTTTCCATTTGGGTTAACTTTCTTTCTGTTCCCTGTTGAGTCTCATTCCATGGCCTTCTTTCAGACATTTCTTTGGTGAAATTCCTTTTTTCCTTGTTTGCCAACTTGTTCAAATCACTCCTTAAAAGCCCATTTTAAAAGGTAGGGCTCAAAACTATCTTTTCAAATTGAAATTCTTTGAGATTATTGTTTCAAAATTTTCAAACAGTACAAAGTAACAAAACTTGTATAGAGAACTGTATAAGGTAGCAAGTGAAAGGCCATTAGAATACAACTCCCTGGACTTAGTCACTGTTCAGTTTGGTAAACTCATTCAGAATTTAAGAAGCTTGTAGACTATTCCTCTAGTTCATAGTGAAATAAACTATTCTTTCCTGGAAATCATGAAACTTCCCTTTTAAATTATTTGTTCATATCGCTATTTAAATATTAAGTTTCATATATAATCGAATACTATAATAACAAAGCTAAGTGAGCTAAATGCATGCTTTTAGAGTTTTAATAATCATTTTCATAAACATGGGCTTGTAATAGCAACAGTACAGATTATATTAGTCTGCCTATTGTATAGTTTTCCTGATCCGGATGAGAATATAAATTTTCTGCTGTAATTATTTTCATGTCTAGACTGTCTTCCTTAAGAACAGAGATCACATTTCTAACTTCCTGTCTTGAATAACCAATAGTGCCTAGCCAGTGTTCTTCAGACAGTTGCTTGGTAGTAAATATGAATGGCTTTTCCACATCACATACTATCATTCAGAATGTTTTTCACATATAAATTGACTAAGTAGTATGTATGATTTGGTCAGGAAATACCTATGGATTATACGATGCAAATAATATTTTGGATATAATGCAAGGGAAATTGGGAGTTGAGAAATGAAAGAATTATCTCTTCCAAGGGAAATGATAAGTTATCTGTGCCAGATCAGATTAAAAACAAAAACAAAACCCCCAAGTATGATGCAACAGTGTGACACACAGAGCTGGTTACAGTGGATTGTACTGACTGAGACAACGTTGACCTCATCTTCTGCAACTGACTTCACTACATCCAATAGAGGCTGGAACAGTTTTTTCTCTCATCTGTCCATCCCAGAGACAGACATGCACACACGCACACATAGGCATGCTCAAACACACAGACACACCATTCTTCAGCTCCAACCTTTTATGTTGTACTCTCTGAAAATCCTCCCCCAAAACACAAAAGCCCCCCATTGATTCAAGCACATGAGTCCTTATTTTGAACACCTGAAGCCTTCTTCACTTTCTGCTGTTACAGCACTTAAGACCAGATTAGAACTGCCAGGCACTACTATCTCATCAAAGTTGAATATTGTGAGATCAGAGGATGTCTGTCTTGCTCACTATTTTTACCTAATATAATGGTAACCCCATTAACCAAGCCAGAACCTTGGAATGCATCCTTGACGATCACCAATCTTGCACTCCCATATTTCAATGAGTCATCAATTCTTGTTGATGCTTCCTTTTGTTATCTCCCAAATCCATCTACTTCTTTCCATCCCTGTTGCCACTTCCCTAGTTATGGTCAACATTTTCTTTAGCCTCTGTTGCTGTGACAGCTTCCTGACCAGTCTGCCTTCCTCCAGCATTGCCACCTTCAAATCCATTCTCTATCCTGAAGCCAGAGTTATTTCTCAAATGCACCTGTTTCTTAGGTGCACACTACTGCACCTGCTAATTTTTTTAGTAGGGATAGGGTCTTGCTACATTGTCCAGAGTTGTTTCTTTCCAGAGTTGTTTCTCAAATCTCAACTTTTCTCAAATGCGAAACCAGGTTTACAAAACCCTTCCCCTGTCAGTATCATCTTTGTCACTCTCAACCACGATGGTTTTCTTTCAGCTTTCTTCGTACTTGAATCTTTCATACTTTCTTTCACCTCTAGATTTTTTTCACACTTGGAATAATTACCTAGGATCACATATCGTAGTCATAGGTACAGCTGGGGAAATGAGAACTCTCAATATGGCTTCAATGTCAACTTCTGATGGCCAGGAACACAGCATGCTTCTGTTTAGTACCCAATCATTTATTTGCTTCAAGAAGTAATGAAAACCTCTCAGCATGGGCATCTCAGGAAGGTGACTCACTGACATAAATTTCTTCAATATGACCTCAAAGGAGTGCTTTTAAATACAGGATAGGATTGGGTTTCACGATGAAGGCTGTATAAATTTGCCTCCCAATAACACTTGAAAATGTATTTACACTGCCTCCTGTTACATGGTCTTATATTTCTAAGAATCTCATGCCTGCTGCCAAAAGATATAGTAAAGGGTCCCAACCATTCACCTAACAGAACAGTTCGTATTATGGTTTTTGTTGTTGTTGTTGTTTGTTTTTTTAAAGTCACCATTCCCAATGTTACACAAAATAGGTACCCCAGAATTCAAACCTTCTGTGTCTGTAATTTATCCTTAGGGAAGATTAACACTCGAGAGGAAATTATTCTATGGGAGATCTTCTTAAATCCTACCTAAACAGGTAGGGCCATGCTATAGGCTGAACAAAGGCAAAAGGTTACTTATCCAACTTCCTGTCTGGTAATCCTATTATTTCATGACTCCACTTTGCCATTCTGCCACTACTCTGAATTTCCTTTTGCTCCCAACCTTCTCTTTGACCTCCTCAACCTCAGATGGTGACTTTGCTTGTTGTTTCAATGAGAAAATGCAAGCAATGAGAAAAGATCATTTTCTTCCTCCTGCCATCCAATCCAGCAGCTCATCCTCAGTTGTTTCCTGACTCTGCCTGCCCTCCTGCCACTGCAGATGAAATGCGTTTCTGCTGCTCTAAGGCCAGTCCTTCCACTTGTAGAGGAATCCCCTGCATTTCCCTCCACTCAGAAATTGGTTCCTGACTATGGTCTCTCTCTCTTACAGTCATCTGAACTTGATAATTCCTATTAGACTATAATCAAGCTATAATACCTTCTTAACTATTAAATTTCTCTGGTCCCATATATAGCCAAACTTTAAAAATTGCTACACACACTTACTCTCTCCCATTGGCTATCTCCCATTCTCTCTTGACACACTCCACTGTAACTGGATTTTTCAGTCATCAATAACCTTCAGCTGCCAAATCAAATGTTCTAAATTTCCATCCTCATTTCACTTCACCTCACAAGACTTTCTTTATTGGCTTCATGGCTTTCTTTTACCTAACTGGTGGCTCCTTCCTTGTGTTTTGTACACATCCTCCTCAAATCCCCGGTATTTCTGTAAATGTCATGGTGCCCCAGGAGTCAATCTCAAACTCATTCTCACCTCTTTTCTGCTCTTGTGTCTTGGCCTCACTTTGCCTCTCTCCTCTTCTCTTCATCCACACTCACTCCCTAAGTCATGGCCTTAAATATTATCTTTGTATTCAGACATCTTGCCTGAGCTCTCAGTTTATTTATCCAAGTGCCCATTCGACATCTGTTGGGAGGTCTAATAAGCATCTTAAATTTCACATATCTGGACTCAACCCTGGGTATTTCATCTAAGACATGCTCCTTACCCACTGTTCTCTAAGTCTTATTCCTTCAGTTCCTTAGGCCAAAATTTCCTCTTTTTTTGCACTCTTCATCTGATCCATAATGATAACCTACTAATTGCATTTCCAAATAAAGCCCCAAACCACCCATTTCTCAGCTCTAACTGCTACCACTCAATCCCAGCCATACTTCCCTTTCACCGGAAAGGGAACGGTCTTCTACCTAGTCTCCTTGCTTGCTTGCTTGCTTCTGCTCTTCCTTGTCTATAGTCTGTTTTTCAACAAAATCTAAGCTGATCCATTTTTTTCCCTCCTGTCACTCACTCTGTCAGGCTGGAGTGCAGTGACACAATTATAGCTCACTGCATCCTCTAACTCCTGGGCTCAAGTGGTCTTCCCACATCAGCCTTCCTAGTAGCTGGACTACAGGTGCACACTACTGCACCTGCTAATTTTTTAACTTTTTTGTAGAGATAGGATCTTGCTACATTGCCCAGACTGGTCTCAAAGTCTTGGTGTCAAGTGGTCCTCCTGCCTTGGTCTTCCAAAGTGCTGGGATTACAGATGTGAGCCCCCATGACTGACCAAAACTGATCTTTTAAAAAACATAATTCAAATTATGTTACTTCCTTACTCAAAACCCACCATTGGCTACCCACCACTCTTAGAATAAAATCCCAAATCCTGACCCTGGCCATGAAGATACTATACCATCTTGCTTATACCTGGCCTTCTGGCCTAATTTCCTATCACTCTTGCCCCGATTTGCTTTTCTCTAGCTCAGCGACCTTTCTCCATTTCTCAAGCACACCCACATCTCCAGACTCTAACACTGACACTCCTACAACCTAGAACATGTCTCCCTTGGATACCACCTGGCTCCTTTCCTCACTCAAATTAGGTCCTTGCTCAGATATCACCTCCTCAGTGAAAGTTCTTGTGACCACCTGTGGTACAAAAAATAATACCGCTCAAGAGGGCTACATCTGAATCTCCCAAAACTGACTATATTAGGCTACGTGGCAAAGAGGGACTGGACTGAGATTGCAAATGGAATTAAGGTTGCTAATCAGCTGATCTCAAAATGGTACATTATCTTGGATCATACATTTGGACCTAATGTAATGATAAGGATACTATCAGGTGGAAGAAGAGGCCAAAAAAGGAGACCCAGAGATAGGGCAGTGGAAGAAGATGTTGCTGCTTTTGACAAAGGAAAGGATCCCAGAGCCAAGGAATGTGGGTCACCTGTAGGAGCTGGAAAAGGCAAGGAAATAAATAGGTTCTCCCAAGAGCTTCCAGAAGGAATGCAGCTCTGCCAACACCTTGATGCTAGCCCAGGGAGACCCATTTTAGACTTTGGATGCCAGAACTATAAGATAATCAAGGCTAGGTGCAGTGGCTCACACCTTTAATCCCAGCACATTGGGAGGCCGAGATGGGTGGATCACCTGAGGTCAGCAGTTCGAGAGCAGCCTGGCCAACATGGTGAAATCCCGTTTCTACTAAAAATACAAAAATTAGCCATGTGTGGTGGTGGGTGCCTGTAATCCCAGCTACTCAGGAGGCTGAGGCAGGAGAATTGCTTGAACCTGGGAGGTGGAGGTTGCGGTGAGCCTAGATTGTGCCACTACACTCCGGCCTCGGTGACAGAGTGAGTTTCCTTCTAAAAAAAAAAAAAAGGAAAGAAAAAGAAAAAAAAGATAATCAGTTTGTGTTGTTTAAAGCCACTAAGCATGTGGTAATTTGTCATAGTAGCAATGGAAAGCAAATGGCCTGCCCAAGCTAAAATAAATGTGCACACACCGACACACACACACACACACACACACACACACACACACCATTCTCTGTCCTCTTGACCTTCGCTTTCTTTTCTTCCACTTGTCGCTGGCTGTTCCTATGAACCCCATCCGACGGGACAAAATCTTAGGCTTTGTTAGTGGACGTACTCCACGTCAAGAACAGCATCTGCCTGTGCAGGGTTGCAAATAGTAGCCCCTGAAATTTAATTTTACCATTTGCTAATGCTAAGCTTTATTTTCAACTCTCTTTTCCCCCCTTAGATGACATTTTTATAAGTAAAAGTGTGTTAAAGTGTGTAATGATTTAATAATATGTCACCTGAGGAACCAGAGTGAAAGGAAGAAGGTCATCCAGTCTTCCCAGGTAATCTTTGTGGTAAAGAATGGATAATCTATCACAGGAATAGAGAAATGAAAAGAAAAGAGAAAAAAAATTTCCAGTGGAGACCAGGTGGAACAGGTTGGGGGACTGAGTGTTGGTATAAACGTCTCACTCATATCTTTGAATCTGTTCACAAAAACATCCTCTCCTTGCCATGTGTCTATTCATAAGTGAAGGGGTTGACACTGTAGCCCCCAATAACTGTATATTTGAACTGAGTGTCCTAAAAACCTGTCCTGCAAAATTAAAAAAAAAGTTTTAATCACATTTCCCAAAGACAATCTGTTTGTGTGCATTTCCTTTCTCATGCTCTTTTAAAGATGGTAGATACAATTTCGATAGGTGCAGTTAAGTAAAGTTTTCCATAGTTAAACAAATTGGCACAGCAAACCTCCTAGGCATGGTTTGGCCTACAAAATATGTTAAATAATAAATGTCAATTTCAGGTGGAAGCTGTAGCAGACAGTGTGCAATTAGACACACCCCTTTTCCAATTAGGGTGATCTCAGACACCCGTGCCAATAAGGAGTCTCCATGAAGCTGGGTCCCTGTGTGGCTTGAACTGGCCAAGCCTCCCTATCAAATCACACTGAACTTACAGTGTGAGCAAGAAATAAACCTTAGATGCTTTAAGCCAAAGATACGAGGTTGTTTCTACAGCCATTTGGGTCTGCTTTGACCTCATAAATGTGAGGAGAAATAATGAATGTTAACAAAGGCCCCATCCTATGAATCCAATAGGTTGATTTCGTTTGTGAATTCTTAGTGCCTTTTCTAAGAGAATATGCATTGTAAGTGTCATAGAAAGGGAGCAGATGCAGCCATTTACCAACTCAGTTGACATAAAACCTTTTCTGTTCATTTTCGTACAAAAGAATAACGTGCAAGAGATTTTCAGAAACGCTGCTCCAGCTTTCATTCTGTCAGTTCTCCTCCCCGAAACTTCTCACTTTTCTCTGCTCAACCAAGATTGTTGGCAAGTGTGTTGACACACTCTTTACTTAGTAAACAGACACACCTTTACAGAACATTTATAAACCTTACTTGGGACTAAGTAGAATGGCGCACCCCAGAAGAAATGCTCTAGGTAGATTTTATAACTCATCATATATAATGTTTTAAAGGAAAAAAATATTATTATACATAACAGAGCAAGAACTAAACACCAATTCATGCTATGATGTTTGACACTACTTCATGAGTTTATCTGGATGTCTTGACTCTATCCAATGCCTTCCATATTTTAAGGTCTATGGGATTATCTGGACCTATGGTCACTCTTGATTTCTTTCCTACGGGCTCTTATAACAAGTTTTGTGAACTGATTGCAGTATAAATAGACTGTGAATTAACTTCTGGTAAGCTCATCTTACTCAGACACACTCAAAAGCTATTCCGCACACAAACAGCTCTTGAAACTGCCATGTCAGAACAGGTCTGTATTTCTATCTTTAAAGTTAATCTAGAATGAAAACAGGTGAGACTTACACTGTATCTTCTTATTTTTACACATACTGTTACTGAAAATACCCTTGATCTTTAGTATTTTAGAACCTAGGTACTTTATATAAATAAATGCATTTCTAAACCAGTCAACCATCAGCTCCCAAGACAAGAGAGGGAACAACTAAGATGCCATCTTCTAATCCAGAGCTTTAATTCTGATCTTTTATTGTTAATCTTTACAGCACTTTAGTGAACTCAATCATTTCATTTAGAATTTTTTTGTGTGTTTAATTTTTTCATTATTTTTCCTGATCATAAATAAATACTTGTTCATGGTTTGAAAACAAGAAAAAAAATGCATGAGAAAAAAACAGTTTTAATCACATTTCCCAAAGATAGTCTCTCATTACAATTTCCTTCTTATATTTTTCAAGAAGTTGTAGACACAATTTTGACTTTTATGTTTTTTATTTACCACTGAAACACAAATCTTCTCATGTTAATCTTGATTCTTTGTAGACTTCATTTTTAATGGTTATATAATATTTAATTGTGTGCTTTTATGCCCTAATTTGATTGACTACCCACAAATAGGCTGTTCAAAAACATTACTTATTTAGTGTTGTGCCCCTTTTCTTTCTTCTTAAAAAAGGATTTGTAGCTACTTTAGAATTAATTTCTGAAACATGTATCCTGGTGGGAACTATAGGAGGAGAGAAGCCTGAAGTATCAGAAAATCATTCTGGAAGACAAGATGTCCTGGGTGGCTAAGAATGCAGGAGGACATGGTGCAGGGTGTGTGGCAACACGTGTGTATGCAAGAGTTGTTTGCTGTGCTCTAGAGAGACAAGCTGTACTGTGCTGTGTGGCACTGTGACAAAGAGATCAGTTGTGTAACTAGCGAGGCAAGAGGGGGCAGGTATAGGAGACATCTGGGGAAATCATAGGCTCTGACAACTGAGACAACTGGAATAGAACTACAACCTGGCCACAGGAGATTGGCTTCCACTGCTGTACCTGGGGTGAGATGCTGCGTATAGCGTGGGCCGGGTCAGGTCTTTGAATAAACCTATTCCTGTTGCAGTGGTGTGTGCCCTTCTCTCTCGTGTCAGTATGTCCTGGAAGTCAGGGCAGACTGATACAGGGTTTTTTGCAATATCATATTCAAATTTATGTCCTTATGTCAAATATCAGAGCTGAAGAAGAAAACTGACCAAATGTTTCTAAGTAAATACCCTGCAGTGCCATTATACTAATTTTGATAACTACAATCATGTATTTAAAGTGAGCTCTCTTCAGTGACTACCAGTGAGGAAATTTTGTGCCTGAATTTCATAAGGATATAGGAATGACACAAGGAACAACATTTCATTGCATAGATATTCTTATGCAACGTGTTTGCATTCACACTCTTCTTATCAAACACATTCGGAACATATGATCCTTTATTTAAAGAATGTTGAAGAAGTTCCTACATGATGATCTGACCAATCGTTCAGCCTTACTTAGGAGCGGTGGCCTATGCTTCTCAGGGATCTTTGTCTTTACACCCCCAGGTGTTGTTATATCAGACCCTCCCATAGCCTAAGAGCTTATTGACCATGGGCTCAGAGCAACAGCCACAAAACCATATTTAATCATCATATCAAATATGTAACTCTCTTGCCTTCTCCATAAAGGTTTTTTCTCTTCATCTTTTTGTTCATATTATTTATACATTTATTTTATTTACATATTAATATAGATTATTTATTTACGTATTTATAAAATCCACTTTTGGTGATCTACAGCATCATGGGTTTTCATAAATACAGGCAGTCATGTATCCCCCACCACAATCAAGATATAGAAAGTTCCATCAACCTCCCCCCCAAAAGATTCCCTGCTATTACACCTTTGGAGTCAACTCATCTCTTCCACTCCCAATGCCTGGAAATCACTTCTATAAAGACTTATTTTTGTAATCTATACCTTAATTTTACCCCCCAAAAAAAGAAAGAAAGGGTAAATAATCACTTTCTTCAGTGTTTATGGGTCTAGGAAAGTTTCTCAATTTGCAGACCTTCAGGCCAATACACTAAACACCACAGACCTAAACTCTGGCCTTTCAGCAGGGTTGAGGTGGAGCTCCACTCCTTCCAGACCATCTAGTGACATTCATCTAAGAGTTGCTCACCTGAATTCTATAGCAGTCCATAGCTGGTGTATCAGATGTATTTGGTTTTAAGTATAAATCACTTAGTCACAATTAGCTTGCATATCTTAAATCTCCTTATCATGTAACCTGGAATTGAAATTACTTTAATCTATGTTAGGATTTCATTATGGAGGAACACCTTGCTTTATGCAATAAATATGTTCTTTGTAAACATGTATTTAAGCTGAATTTTGAAAAATAAAAATTATTTTAAAATGCTTTCAACATGCTTGCTGATTAAAGGATGAATGAGTGTTTTTTTAATAAAACCAATAATTAGTCTTTCAGCTATCTTGCTCAAAAATCCATGTTCAATGGCTGGGTGTGGCGGCTCATGCCTGTAATCCCAGCACTTTGAGAGGCCAAGGCAGGCAGATCACTTGAAGTCAGGAGTTCAAAACCAGCCTGACCAATATGGTGAAACCCTGTCTCTACTGAAAATACAAAACAAAACAAAAAATCACACAACTAGCTGGGCATGGCAGTGGGCACCTGTAATCCCAGCTACTTGGGAGGCTGAGGCAGGAGAATCATTTTAACCCGGGAGATGGAGGTTGCAGTTAGCTGAGATTGTGCCACTGCATTCCAGCCTGGGTGACAGAACCAGACTCCATTTCAAAAAAATAAAAATAAAATAAAAAATAAAAAAGTCCATGTTCATGTACTGTCATGGTATCCATCAGGGCACCCCTGAGCTGAGCTTTTTCGTAAAGTTGGCAACTCTCTCCATCAATGCAATTCCCAGATACAAGACTCGTTATACACTAAGAAGGAAAGTTCGAATGTGCACATCTCAACCTGTCAGCTTAAATGTAAAAGTGTGTTTTTCCTTTCAGAATAATTTCAAGACTATTTCAAGATAATTTCAAGCCATTTCTCCCAGCATGCTGCAGAGCCTACACGGAATATTCCTGCCAAGAACCTTGAAGCCTGTTCCCTCACACAGACTTCCAGCTTCTTGAAAGAATTTTGCAGATTAAGCAATAGGTGCCTAATGCTCATACTGCTCAACTAGCCATACAGCAGATCTGTTTCCCATTTCTAGTTGGAGTTTCAAGGACTTCCTTTTTCTAATTGCTTCCTCAGTTGCTATGGGCTGTAGGGACCGCTGCCTCCTCCCTTCTCATACCAAGGTTCAGTTGTGTTCTGTTGCATGAAGTCTGAACAAACAGAGAGAAATTTAGGGATGATGGTTGCCTCTGTCATGCCAACATATCCAGTCATAGTAGCCATCATGAATTGCTTCTAGAATAATAAGTAAGACATCCAGCTAAACCACCTTTGATGACTCAGTTGGATCAGGACTTAGCAGAGGAAGATTTCTGCAAATATTGTGGTGTGTGCTTGTGTGCACACACTGCTTCTTTTTTTCTGAGTAGCAAAACTTACTCTCATTGTTAAGTCTTGAAAAGAGGAGGTTATCTTTGGGCTTCCGTCTTCCCCCACCTTTGTAATCTTCCAAGTGAACGTATTAGAGCACAGATTTCTCCTGTCCCTAAGTCCTATCACATTTATGTTATTTCCTCTGTCATTTACTTGGGTAGCTCTAACCTACATTTTTCTTTTCTTTGTTCCTGAACAAAAACTGATTTCTTTCCGGGGAAACTAGAAAGGCAAGACTTATGCAGCCAATATGTTTCCCAACCCTCACATGAGAAAAAGGGCACACCGAACACTATAAAAAAACAACCCTAAGCCAGTTGCAGAACCAGATGCTTTAAGCTGCTTCTCATTGTGGGATCACTCAACACAAAATAAAACAGACCCCCCAAAACAAAGGCTTCCGGTCTCCCGCAATTCCAACAAAAACCTTGTCATCCAGAACTTTGAAATATCCTAATCCAATTGTCTTCCATTTTAAGTTTTCTTTTCTTTTCTTTTTCTTTTTCCTTTTATTTTTATTTTTATTTTTATTTTTTAACACAGAGATACTAAGTTGAGGCCAGGCAAATTCTAGTGGTCTTTCTCAGATGACTTCCAAATCTCAATGGCACCTCCTACCTCTTCCTGTCAACTTCTTATGTGGGCTCCTAACTGTGACTGGTTCCCAGCTGTATTGCTTCTCTGTCATTATTAGTGCTTTGATGATTATCATAATTAATTAGCACACATCACCTTTTTCCTCAAACATTTTACTTGAGCATTTAAAACAATCAAATACTTGTATGCTATACTTTGGAACTATGTTGCAATTTGCTCTTCATTATTCCAAAGATGACAGTCCATTTCATTGTCTCATTCGTTCTCCCTTTTAGCAGAAGGGTTACAGCCTAACATTCTTTAACCCATGCATTGGTTTAGAAAATGTAGGAAAAAGAAGAAAGGGAACCTTGAAGTAGACACAGAAGCGAGAGGCATGAATTAGGCAGATGTGATATTTTAAACTCTTTAAGACATAGGGCATAGTTTAAAGAGTTCCTGAGACAAAAGTGAAAGAAACCAATTTGGTGATAGGAGGAATTTTCTTCTATTGAAGTAAAGAGGGAAAGACAGAAGGGAGATCAGAGAAGTGCTTTTTTGGAACCCCTTGATTCTGTACAGAGCAGGAAAATTATCTACTCTTTGCATCTCCCCCACCAGCATATGCTTCTAGTATTCATGCATTTGAAGTGCTGGGCCTAGTGCAAGCTTCCTCTATTTTTGTATTCATCATGAGAAATGTTAAAGAAAATCAAGTTATATGATAAGGTAAAAATAAAATAAATAATGATTATTTCATGAAAAAAAACCTGAAAGGCAGTTTTTAGAAAATGGCAATTGACCTTAAATAAATGGAGGAACAGGATCTCAACTGGACTCTGGGACTCAGTTATAGGGCTGTCTCCTTCAAAGTCTAAGCTGAGAGAATTTAGTTGGTTACCAGAGCAGAATACCCAATTGTAGACACCCCAGGGACCTGAACAAGTTGAAACAACTTCATTGAAAGGTCAAATTTACTTAGGATGTCTTGAATTCAGATGTCGTAGTAAAAGTAGGGTAAAAGACCAGGAAAGTCACTGATGTCTTGACAGATGAATATTTGCAATATACATTTTTATGCCTGACACATCACACTCCATTATGCGGATGTCAATTTGGGGCCACTACTTAGTTAAGCAGAGAACTTTTCTTCCTTTTTTTCGGGGGAGAACAGTACGTTACTGGCACTGAGCAGAGAGTAACTCAGGAGGCAGCTTATCAGAGACCATGAAGGGGCATTCTGTGGGAGTCTGAGCAAACCAGGGGCATATGCGACCCATCATTCCCACCAAGACAAACCCTGCTTCTACAATGCTTCCACCAAAACTGTTTATCCTTTCCAACCCCTCTCTGGAGAATAATTTAAAATGGAATTGTAAAGCCACTGCTGGAGTAGGGGAATGGAGGAGAGGGAGGGAAGGCAAATATAGCCTTCCAAAGCTCCTTGGGGGCTTAGTCATAATCCTGAACTTGCAGTCTATCAGGGTCAATCCTCTCCCCATTTCTGGAAGGAAGGTGAGGGGAACAAGCAGGCTGCGAACTGGGCAGACCTCTATTCCAGTCCTGCCTCTACCACCTACCACTGTACGGTCTTGGGTATACCTTTGATGTCAGTTTCCTTATTTACAGAATGAGTTTTACATAGTTGTTTTGATTTGTTTTATGTAGTAGAAACAATGTGTGTACCGTGTCTGGTACATAGTAGCGATCTGTAAATGGGATGCCTCTGGCAACACTGACTTCAGGACCCAGAGCCAGTGATGTCTGTTTCCACCTTTCATCTTTCGTTTTAACATTCTACTTTGTCCACGAAGTGGATGTTCAGAATGGAAATAGCTACACTGGCATCTGCTGTGCCTTCTTCACTTGCACAGCATTGCATCAAGTAGCTGCCACTGCCAGTTCCACTATCTGAGGGTATAAGGACAAAGCAATTGGCACAGATGAGGTATAGAGGGTGAGCAACCACTTGGTAGCAAACACCTGAGCTGTGACCCTGTGGATTCCTTCCCCACACCCATTTTCAGGCCATTCCCACTGGCAATCAAGGTTTCTGGGCCCATAGTACCCCCTGATGGCCGACATGGGGAACTTTCTTTTCCCAACAATTCCTTTCTCCTCCCCAGTGGGACCTCCCTGTCTTTCACAGGTCACAGCCTTGTTCATTCTGTCATGGACCATTCATTTCTCACAAACTTGTGTAGCCTTTCCTGCCTTGCTTTTTAAATTTCCTGTTCAATTATTTCAGGAACATTGATTTTTCTTCCCCTTTCTTTCTCTCACTTTGTTCCATTTGTGAATTCTGAAATTATTATGATTGTAGTTGATAAGTATAATAGTAGGATTAGTGCATTCATCTATTTATCAAGTAAACCACTATATATTTGGAAGTAAAATAAGACATAGTGTGGAATGAGCAGCATCAATCTCTAAAGCCCTTTGAGATATCTAGACATTTTCCTAACCTACACAAAAGAGGACATTGTCTTCTCCAAGTAACACTGACATTTTCTGGACATTATTTTTCTGTTTAATTGCCAACTTGTTCTAGTTTGTCCCCTACTGTTTTACTGCAAATATAATTCAGCTACAATAAGGGTTAAATGCATTCCTGTGGGCTATTCTGGAAACCAAAGCACATCTTTCAGCATTAGTTCTGTATGGGAGAGTGAATTCAAGGCTTCAAGCAATTGCTTTAGAATGAACTTGGAAAATATAACCTATTGTATTTTTTTTTTTTTTTTTGAGATGGAGTTTCACTCTTGTTGCCCAGGCTGGAGTGCAATGGTGCAATCTTGGCTAACTGCAACCTCTCCCTCCTGGGTTCAAGCAATTCTCCTGTCTCAGCCTCCCAAGTAGCTGGGATTACACCCTTAGGCCCGGCTGATTTTGTATTTTTAGTAGAGATGGGGTTTCACCATGTTGGTCAGGCTGGTCTTGAACTCCTGACCTCAAGTGATCCACCTGCCTCGGCCTCCCAAAGTGCTGGAATTACAGGCATAAGCCACCACGCCTGGCCTACCTATTGTAATTTAATATTGAAAATTTTCAGTTAGGAGTGGTCAGTTATTTTTTGAATTCATAGTTGACATCTGGATTCTCTGGTTTTTAATCTGTTGGCCTATGACATCTATTGGGATGAGTACTTACAAAGTAAGTCAGTTGTAACTTATCAGGGCAGACATTGATTCTTCCTTTATCAAAAGAAAAAAATACTAATCAGATCCTGATTTGATGTTATGAGACTATACAAGAAGATTATTAAATTCTTTTCCACGACCATAAATTGCTTCTTGGTGAAAACACATCAACCATGTCTCAAAATATACTTTCCTTAATGTAAATTCAAATAATGTTAATGATTCATGTCTTTATTTGGCCTGCTTTAAAATACTTTTAAAAATACAAATGATTCGGATATGAATTATTAAAATGGCATTAATTTTGTGTTTAAATGTTTAATTCTTTTGGTTTACGAAGCTTATTCTTAAACTAGAGAGCAGTAGCTAGAAAGTGTCTCAAGTCTTGATAAAATAACTAATTAAAAGATTTCTGTCACAAATTAACATCAAAAGGTTTAATCTTCCTGGTTGCTAATACTCAAATTTAAAAGTAAAAGCTTATAAAAACTGGTATAAAATAACAGAATATTTAATAAAATGATAAGCTATTGTGACCATATATAGACAGGCATGATAAAAATATAATTTTCCAATGCTTTTATAAAATACTTTCCTAATTTGGTCATAATTCAAGGTAATGCTTGTATAGTCTGTTTTGCTTTGAAATATTTTCATATTTATGAAACTGAAATTGTTTTCTCCTTTAACATAAAAGATACAAATTATAGTAACAAGTAAACATCATCCAGCCAATTTCATCGAAATTCTGTGAAAATATTCCGCATAAATTCCATATACGCACTAATCAAACAATTAAAAATCAAAGAAATCAAGTATGTCATAAAATAGTTGTGTGGTACACAAGGTATTTTAAACGATTATTTATCAAGGACCATTGTTCAAGCTGACATATTCGCATTTTTCTGGAAAGAGATATTTGCTTTCTGATAATATATACCTTTTGAATTCATAAAGTTTTGGTGGTAAAAATTAAAGCATTCGGTGTTAATGTTTTTGAAAGCATCGCATTTAAATTATTTTCTCAGGCTCTAAAGAGAAAACACCAGAGGAAACGTAACCAGACTGAATTGTTTAAAATGTATTTTCCCTTTAATTAAATAAGAAACATCTGTCTAGGGATTTTGGAAATGAATGTAATCCATCCACACTCTGCCTGCACTAGTTTGCATTCAATGTCTAATACTTTGAAAGAAAATTCTTTCTTTCTGTAAAGAATTAAACAGCAACGCGGAGTGATGTCTGGGTCTGCAGCAGCTAAGTCCTGCCTCCCGAGCTTGGGCACTGGAAACGCTAAGGATCTCTCTTTTTCCAGATCTGTCCTTGAGAAGCAACCAAATTCTCTCCACAGTCAAAGTTAGGACATAGTTTTTGTATTTCTCCAAAACATCCACTCACCCTGAAAATGCTCATCTCAGAAAGGTAAAGAAACAGGAGTTGCCAGGATGCATCCGAACACTCAGGGTCAAAATAGTGTCCTTTCTCTAGGGTTCACTAAACGTCTTCCTTCAGTTAACTGAGAGTTGAAAAAACTGATTTCTCTAGAGACCCACATAGCCCACAATACGGACATATCAGACAAGCTAAACGAGCAGCACACCAAGACAGCGGGAAGTCGCCTCTGGGATGGCCCTGGTTCTTCCAAACCCAGGCCCACAGCTTAGAAGGACAAATCTCACTTACTGGTGGTGTCAAACGGTATCTGCCTGCACTGCGCAGACCCCTCCGCGGGCCAAGGACAGTAATAGACGGCTCCCCCTTCCACGATATCGGGCTGGCTGGTGTTGGCTTTGGGCGCCCCCACCAAGACACTCGCTCTGCAAAAGAGTTGGAGAAAGTCACTCTTTGGGCGCCACAAAACCGTGCGCATGCAATGCAGTCTCTGTAACCTCCTGCCCGGGGACACTGGGGCAGGCGTGGAGGGCATGAACGTATTTATGATGAGGACCGACTGTCAAACTTGATTTCCTCTTGGAAACGGGGGTCCGCAACCTGGTTTGCAAGAATGCAAACGGTCCTGCTTCTCTAGGTGGAGCTCTGTGGGTACAGTGAGATGAGAGAAGGGGGTGGGGTAGGAGGAAGCCAAGGACAGAGCCCAGCTGCTGGTAGCCGACAGCTCTTGCGCCCAGACGCAATGGTTACAGACTCTGCATAAACAGACCTCGCTGTGGTGGCGGTTTTAACTGGCTTGGGTCTTCTGGGTCCTGTTCTCTCCTTTGTAGGATGCGTGCGTCTTGGTACCTGGAACACCCAGGACTTGCGTGTTCTATGCAAGTGGCATGTCTCTAGCTCAAAATTCACAAGGCACATCTAGCATGGCAGGGGAGAGAAGGGGCTGGTGGCGGGGAGAGGGACGGGACCCCGGGCAGGCGGCAGGACGGGGATCCCAGGCTGCGGGGGGACTCCGCGGCAGAGCCGCTGGGACCTGACCCGGGAGCGCCTTCGTCCCCGCGCGCACCTCCCCGGGTCGGGCGACTTACGTGCGGGCGTCGGGTATGTGGAAGTCCACGGCGTAGCCGAAGTAGCTGCCCTTGGGGCCGCTGTACACTGTGAGCTTTTCCACGTCCAGGTTGAACGCCTGACAGGCGGGGGACCACAGCAACATCCCCAGCGCGGCCGCGGCGCAGCAGAGGGGCGCGATCAGCGGCGCCTGGCTTCCCCGGGGACCGCGGCTGGCCCCGGGCGACATCTCCCTCCGCCCCGGTGGGTGGCTGCTACCCAGGAGCGCGAGCCGAGGACCCCTGCGGGGCAAGGGGGGCTGGTGGAATCTGGCGGTCCCCAGCTGCCCGTGTCCCGGGTCGGTGCGCTCGGCGCACCCGTGGTGACAGTGCCCGGCGTCTGCTCCCACCCGCCCGCCCGCCCAGCCGGCTCGGGGGGCTGGCCCAGGGGCTCTAGCCCTCCTCCGGCCGCGGGCAGGGACCAGCTCTCTCGCGGCGCCTCCTCGCGGCTGGTCTAGAGCCAGGGACTCCCGGGCGGCCCAGCTGGTGGCTGGAGCGCTGGGTGCCTCTTCGGGCTGCCCGGATTTCTATTGCAGTCCCATCTCAAGGACAATCAGTTTCGTCTCTGTCACCTCAAGCTATTTATTGCTTTAGAAGCAATGCCCCAGGTGGAGCGAGAGCTTGCTCCAGTTGTGTCAAAGGCGCAGCTTGGATGGAGAATGTGAAAACCAACCCCACCACCAGGAGGGGCAAAGCAATTATCTCTTCATCACCTCTGCAGCCTGACCTCAGCGTTCACGGCTTTGCACGTCTGTGATGAGAGTTAAAGTTGAAATGCAACAACCCTCTCCTCCCCTAAGTCCACCCCACCTCCTGGCAGAGCTAACTCATATACAAGAAAGCCTCGAGGGTTTTTTTTTGTTTTTGTTGTTGGGTGTCTGTGTGTGTGTGTGTGTGTGCGCGCGCGCCTGTGTGTGTGCATGTGTGAATTTTTTGTTTTTGTTTGTTTGGTTGGTTTGCTTTGTTTTATTTATTTTTTTTTTCTTTTTAGAGATAGGGTCTCTCTCTCGCCCAAGCTGGAGTGCAATGGTGCTATCATAGATCAATGAAATCTCAAACTCCTGGGCTCGAGCGATCCTCCTGCCTCAGCCTCCTGATTAGCTGGTACTGCAGATGACACATCACACCTGGTTAATTTTCTAATTTTTTTTTGTTGACACTGAGTCTGCTCATGTGGCCTAGGCTGGTCTCGATCTCCTGGCCTCAAGCCGTCCTGCCACCTCGAGTTGACTTTTAAAATTTCTTTTCTTTCTTTGTTTCTCTTTCTTTCTCCTTCTTCTTCTTCTTCTTTTTTTTTTTTTTTTTTTTTTTAAGGAGATGGGGGTCTCACCATGTTGTTCAACATGGTCTTGAACTCCTGGACTCAAGCGATCCTCCCACCTAAGCCTCCCACAGTGCTGGGATTTCAGGGTAAGCCGCCTTGCCCAGCCCTTGAGATTTTATTTAAATCTTTCTTAAAGGCATCTTGGGCATATTAAATGACTTAGTAGTAAATCTCCATCCTGTGTAATTGTGATGAAGTTTGGCGCAGTTAAGAATGTTGGAATTTACAGTTTACTTTCTGCGGGGGTAGAAGGTGTAGTTCACAGTCTACAGGAGTTCAGATTTCGGTTCTGATCCGTGGGTGTTGTCAATCTCTTCCCATGTCTCCTGTGTCGGAGAGGACGTGAGGCTTGAGTAGGGGAGGACAGAGAAGAGAAAGGAGTATAGATCCCTTTACATAACATATGGTCATTCGTTAACATTAAACAAAACAGGTCAGCATGAAACCGGAAGGAGCCGAGGTTAAACAGATATGAAGTTTAGAGACAGAAGAGCTAAGTTTTTTCTGAAGCATGTAAGAGGATTTGGTGGCAGATGTACATTTACGTAGGATTTTGAATACGGGGCTTACATTTGGGCACTGTGGGGGGAGAAGTTGAGGGAAGGTATTAATACTTAGAAAAGACAGAGATTAAATGGTTGTGCATGGGATTGGAATAAAAGGGGTGGGTTAGGAAGTGGTGGGAAATAGGGTTGACTGGATCTTCAGGAAGAGGATCTTAATAACAATAACATTTATTGAGGCAAAGGGAGCCAGTTCTAGAGCAGAGACGGGACATACCTTCTGGGGCTCCAAAAGTTTAGGGGTGGGGAGTGGGGGGTAGTTGTTGGAAGGAAGGGAAAGCAAAGTAGGTGTTGCCTAGATGCACTGGGAGGCGAGGACCTCAAGCTGGTTAACAGAAGGGAGGGGAGGGCCACAAATGCTAAAGAAAAGGGACAGGCTGGGCACAGTGGCTCACGCCTGTAATCCCAGCACTTTGGGAGCCCGAGGCGGGAGAATCACAGGGTCAGGAGTTGAGACCAGCCTGACCAACATGGTGAAACTCCGTCTCTACTAAAAAAAAAAAAAAAAAAAAAAAAAAAAAGCTGGGTGTGGTTGCATGTGCCTGTAATCCCAGCTACTCAGGTACTCAGGAGGCTGAGGGAGGAGAATCCCTTGAACCCAGGAAGCGGAGCTTGCAGTCAGCCGAGATTGCAGTCAGCCGAGACTGCACCACTGCACTCCAGTCTGGGCAACAGAGCGAGACTCCATCTCAAAAAAAATTCAAGGTGTCTCAAGGTATTAACCTAGAAAAGAAGAATAGCGAACGGTAGCAGTGGGCTAGGACAGCAGATTGGGGAAGTAGAAGGTGAGTTAGGTGCTGGGCTCACTGATTTGAGTTACTAGCCTGCGATTAGCAATGTAGATGGCAGTTTCGGGAGTGGTCAGTCTGTCCATTGATTTGAGGGTCTATCCAGAGAAAAAAATCTCTGAACTTACTGAAAAGCTGGACTTCTTGTCTCCCTTACATCAGAACCCACTCAGTAGACTGATCTGAATGTTATATCTTTACTTGTCATGCCCCTGTAAAAATAATACAAATAAATAAGCTATCAAAAATTTCCCTGGCAAATTGTCACGTCTGGATAATTTCCTGAGTATTCCTTTCCCAGGTAAAGACTTAGGAGTAGATGGTAGAAGACTTGCTTCTCATTTTAAAAGTTCATTTGCTTTGAACGCAGAGTCTGCTACTCTGATCAAGTTACTATTGTTCATCAAAGTGGTGTTCCCTTCAGTAATTTTCAATGAGGAATTCATGGGCAGCATACAAATAGGAATGCTGACAACTGTGTTGGACACTGAGGTTAGAAAAATAACCTCAACTCAATCATTTCCTGACACTGGCATGCTGAAATTTGGAAATCTGTCCTATTGCAAGCTAGCCTGAGATGGATGAGAACCATCTAAATAGGCAGAAGGTGATAGAATGATCCTAGACATGCACCTGACCTGTGTGCTGACTTACTAGGTGGAACTAGCTATATATTACACAATGCTTTGATTTGCATAGAGAAGCACATCACCAGGGTATCCCATGTTGTACCCACTTGCTTACTTCCTTGGCATATTTCTTAAACTTTTTAGTCTTTTTGTTCAAAAATAGAGTGAGAGGCTGGGCATGGTGGCTCATGCCTGTAATCCCAGCACTCTGGGAGGCAGAGGCTGGTGGATCATCTTGAGGCCAGGAGTTTGGGACCGGCCTGGCCAACATAGTGAAATCCCCTCTCTACTAAAAATACAAAAATTATCTGGGTGTGGTGGCACATGCCTATAATTCCAGCTACTCAGGAGGCTGAGACAGGAGAATTGCTTGAATCTGGAAGACGGAGGTTGCAGCGAGCCGAGATCATGCCAGTGCACTCGAGCCTGGGTGACAGAGTGAGACTCTGTCTCAAAACAACAACAACAAAAATAGAGTAGATAAGGGAAAAAAAATCTGTTTACTGACACATAATTAGGTATATTCTTATTTCTGTGTTCTAAAACATACTTGCTGTTGACTTACATAAGTCTATATTCTTAATATGGTCACTTTCTGCTTTACAGATGAGGACATTAAAGTTTGGGGAGGTAAAATAATATGCATGTTTACAGGGCAAGTAAGTCGTACTATTTTAACCCTATCAAATGCCAAAACCAGTTCCTCATGCTACTAGATCTATAAGGAATCAGGTTTTAAAGCCATGATAATAATGAGAAGCCACCTTTCTAGAGGTAGTAAGCTATTCTGGGCTGCCCTCTGGGCATGCCTATGATTAGTCCTTGAGAGATGGCATAAAGCTGCTGTGTACTTTTCCGAGAGGTCGTGGAAAAAGGTTTGGCTGCACCTTGGTGTTTTGGAGGGAACGCAAACTAACTCCAAGCTCTTTGACCTCCCTGGGAGGCCAAAAGCCTGGGAGAGTAGTAAACCTTCCAAGAAGCCAGGAAAAAAAAAATACCCAATTGCAATAATTGTAGAGAAGGGATAAGTCTGAATAGGTGTCTTGTACATTTCATCATTCTGACATACGGGAACCATGCCAATTGGTAAGATCTGGGGACTCGTCAAAAAAACACATGGACAGTGACAGGTCTCATGCTGAATGAGAAGTTTGACATTTTAAAGATCTACCAGCACTGATTTATTTGTCAGAAAAGCAAGTCTGCGAGTTGTTTATCATCCATGTGAGCATATGTGTATGCTTCGTACTGGGAAAGGTATACATAGTTCTTTCCCTAAAAAGAAAAGAAAAGAACCCAAAGGTCAAAGATGGAACAGATTTGGCCCAAACTTTCCAAAAATAAACAAGTAAAGAGTACCACAGGGGAAAAAAATGATGTCTGAGTTGTAGCCATGTACGAAGTACTTAAAAATAGAAATGCCAGACCATTTAACCAGTTAGTGCATACTTTTCAATCAAAAACATGTCTAACTTAATGACCAATTATTATTTCTGATTGTGTTTCAATCTATTTCTTTATGTGATATGATCATGCCTTAAAATCAAGAGGTGTGAAAGTGTCAATATAATTATTTCATTAATAGAACCACATTTCAAATATTTTAAACTATTTACAGAATAAGCCAGTGTGAATGCAATGTGTGCTCGGAGGCTCCATCAGCTTTAAAAATCAATGCACCAGGAATGGAAGGTAGCTTTTCAGTCTCTACTTAGAAAATGGATAATTGAGGTTATGTCAGATTTTTTTTCTGCCCAACTGAACTCAGCTTTCCTGCAATATTAGAAACAACTGATTAGTAGAAACTGGATGGTTAAACTTACTGAGGGGAAAAGACTTTTAAATGTGTCAGGTGTCTCTGCTGACATCAGCTTATGTCTGCAAATTTTCTATTCGGTCCCTGGAGGGTGAATTTCACCCATAGTAAAACCATTTTTTTTTCTTTTTGATGATTTTGTTTGTAATTCTCTTTTATGGTTTTCCTTCATGATTTTATTAGCCACTTTTAACTTAAAAGTGCTGTAGCACTGGCCCCTGTATTGGCGGGAGTTCAAGCACAGCCAACAGTTGGTTTAGCTGAAGGAAAATTCCCACTAGTCAAAACCAGACTCCAGTTTGATCTCTTTTTAGAACAAGCCTTGAAAAGCAGCTCTGCTTTAAACAAAAATAAAAGTAAAAGAATTCTTCCTCCAAAGGGAAGGTAACTGTGGAAAGCTATGTTCTTCCAAAGCATTGACATTTGAGGATAAATCTTCCTGAGATTCACAGCCCTTGTGGGTGGAGAGGGCTGAGTTTGTAATCAGGATCTTGAGTGATTTACATGTTTCCACAGGGTCAGTTCACTCCAGTATGCTGAAAGACCTACACATGTGTGTTGGGTTGGTGGGCTGGATCATTTAGTAACTATTGGCCAAAAGGACTACAGGAAACTTTTGAGAGGAGAAGGGAACTCATAGCATCTAAGCCGTAAATTAGGAGTCTGGCAATTGAGAATTCCAGTTCCCCAAGGGACTCATGTTGGAGTCCAGTGCAAAGGGTGGGGGGTGGGGAGAGGGCCTGCAGGAATGTTCAAGGTTTTTATTTTATGACAAAAAAACTGAGTCACCATAAAGTGCTAGGGTTCAGAGCAGCACCACCCTGGTCCTCGGCAAAAAGGGCAAGATGAGAAGTGGTGCATTCTTCCCACCCGTGCACGCCCCAGGACTTGAAAGTGTAGGCGTCTGTGAACACAGGGCTGCAGGCACCTTCATGGACCCCAGGTAACAGCAGCAATAGATGTGGTTCTGGACAATCAGGGAGGTATAGGCTTCTAAAGCAGCCAGACACCACTTTACTCAGCTCCTGGGGGAGGCTACAGGACTCAGATGACACACCCAATGCCTCCTACAAATAAGTGGGGAAGTCCTTCAGTTGCAGAAGCGGGTGAAGGCCGGAGCAACTGATGCATTGATAACAGTGTGTTTAAAACCCCAGGCTAAGTTGCTGTGCTTAGTTTGCCTTTAGGAGAACCACAGGGTGTCTAGGACTGCCCTCTAGTGTCTGTGATCTTATTCAAGTGTGTGGGATTTTCCAGGAATAATACAAACCTTCCTTGTGAAAAATGCTTTGGCCTTACAATTTTGATAATTCTTACAAATGGATTTTAAAAATATTTTTTATTAAAAAGTTTACAAACATTGATTTAATCTCTCCCACATTTATTAAGATTTTTATTTCCTTGTTATAGCTTTGCAAATCATTAGGTGAAAAAGAAAAAAAGAAACAGAAAGGAAGGGAGGGAGGGAGGGAGGAAAGGAAGGAAGCAAGGAATGAAAGAAGGAAAGAACAAAGGAACACTGGCAGGGAGAGAGGGAGGGAGGGAGGAAGGAAAGGAGGGAAAGAAGGAAGGGAGAAGGAAGGAAAGATGGAAGGAAGGAAGACAGGCAGGGAGACTCGGAGGGAGAAAGTGTCCCATGAAAATAAAAATAATATTTTCCCAACTAATGACAAAGTCCAAATTAGTTGTCACTGTGATCCATGCAAAGACTATGTCCTGCTCAACCTCACTTGGCTTCCTGATTTTGATTTACTTATTCATTGTTTTTATCCTTTTAACAAATATGGGCACCAATTTTGTCTCAGGCACCATGCAAGCTCTGGTGATGCAGTATTAAGCTAAAAAGATATAGTTCCTCCCTTCATGAGCATACAGTCTAGTGAGGTGTGCTAGGTGGTGAACAATCAAGCAAACTGAGCAGAATGTAATTAAATGGATAAATGCCAGATGGATAAATGCCAGGATTGAAACTAACGGGGTGTGGTGTGAGAGAATGATGGGGCTGGAGGTAAGACGGGGAAGGCTTTATGAGATATTTTTCATCAGAGAAGACTAAAGCCATGAGTTAAGCCAGAGAATAAAACAAACTGTTCATGGCATGACTTAAAAAATATATGCCTGTGATCGTAACACTCCTTACCCAGATCTGGAAGACAAGGAATTCTATGGCTTGTCTGGGGCCACTGATTTAGAGAAGTTCAATCTTAGCAGAATTCATCTGAGCACATCGGACCAAGTTGATATGGTTTCACTGTGTCCCCACCCAAATCTCATCTTGAATTGTAGCTCCCATAATTCCCATATGTTGTGGGAGGGACCCAGTGGGAGATAATTGAATCATGGGGGCAGTTTCCCTCATACTGTTCTCATGGTAGTGAATAAGTCTCATGAGATCTGATGGTTTTATAAGGGGTTTCCCCATTCACTTTGTCCTCATTCTCTCTTTCCTGCCGCCATGTAAGAAGTGCCTTTCACCTTCTGCCATGATTGTGAGGCTCCCTAGCCACGTGGCACTGTGAGTCCATTAAACCTCTTTTTGTTTATAAATTACCGAGTCTCAGGTATGTCTTCATCAGCAGCATGAAAAGAGACTAATACACAAGTTAAGACATTTACTGCCCCCATAAAATGCCACATGCCATCCATGGCATCTGCATTTTGTTCTCTATGTAACTTAGTAAAAAGGCCTCTTACTTATCATGTAACAGTCTCCATGATGGCATCTTCCTAAGTTATCCAAGACGATGGCCTTGACCATTTTAATTATCTCCGTGTAAGAATGCCTTAGCCTGTTTTTAGAGCTAGAAGTCTTCGAACAACTTGAAAGTTGGAAGTGAATTCCTGTCTTCTACTGAGCTTGCCTAAAACGTAACTCATTGACTTAAATTGATCTTCCTTGTTTTTATTGTGTTAATGTATTAAAAAGTGGGTTCTTTTCCCAAAGGCCTCTGGTCCCATGTACAAAAAAAATAGAAATATGACAAGTTAAATTAAAACCAGCAGATGAAAGTTAAAATATTCTCAAAAAGAAAAAAGACGCCAAGTAGCATTACTGGAAGGAGAAAAAAAATAAGCCAAATGGATTGAACTTAGCCCATTTTTCAATTTGCCTGTTGGACTTGCTCAAAGTAGATGTTAGAGTGACTTCCTACAAAATTCCTGAAAAACTATTTGCCACTACATATGATCACACCAAGTCAGCAAAATAATGGTAATTCCAGAGACAGAAGGGATCCAAATTGTAGTTCTTTTCAAAGGAAGGTCAGGATGGTCTATCTAGCTTTCAGTCACTGTCTGACCTTACTCATCTGCATCTCACTTGTGGGAGGTGAGAGATGAACTCTAAACATATGAGCCTTTCTCTCTTGAGCTCTAAATCCTGCCCAGTGTAGTTACGGTGTGATTCTGCTTGGAAACCAGTGCTGTTCATCCTCGGAGAGGCAGAAGAGCATGACCATTAAGAGCATGGATTCTAAAGCCAGATACTTACTTCCCTGGCCTGTTTTTGCCACCTACCTGTAGGACGCTGGGCACGTTACTTACCATCTCTATCCGTCAGTTTCCCCATTTGTAAAATACAGGTACAGGTTGCATTTTATAGGTACATTTCTGATCCAAAAATCGCAAATCTGAAATATTCAAAAATGCAAAACTTTTTGAGCACGAAACATGACATCATAAGTGGAAAATTCCATACCTGATCCCATGTGATGGATCACAGTCAAAACGCAGTTGCATAACACAGCTTATTCAGTATTCCCAAAGGAAAAATACAATCACTTTCAGGTTGTGAGTATAAGGTGTATATAAAACATAGATGCATTTCATGTTTAAACTTGAGTCTCATCCCAAAATATCTCATTACATATATACAAATATTCCAAAAGCCCCCCAAATTCCAAAATCTGAAGCTCTTCTGGCCTCAAGCATTTTAGAGAAGGGATACTCAACCTGTGCTAACAATGTGTCACATGGACTTGTGAGGACTAAATGAATTAAAATATATAAATCTATGTAAGATTCCATAGGAAAAGCAATGTGTTAGCTAGTATTGTCACTTACATTTCTAATTGGCTATGGATTGCTAATGGCATAATGTTATTGCTTGCTTTCGATTGTCCACACGTACCTGCCCTTCACCAGGGTCAAGCACTCACTATTTGCCAGAACTTAGCCTAGATATTGTCATACTCTTGAGTACAGTTCCCTGCTGTCTTGGTCAAGCCTTCTCAGTTAATACTCCTCTGGTAATGTAGCAGTCCCCCCTTGCCTACAGTTTCAGTAATGCAGTAATGCAGTAATGCAGTTTCACTTACTGCCAATCAACCCCAGTTTGAAAATACTGATATTTTCAGAGAGAGAGACCACATTCACATAACTTGTATTACAGTAGGTTAAAATTTTCCCATTTTATTATTTACTATTGTTTTTAATCTCTTACTGTGTCTAATTTTTAAATTAAGCCTTATCATAGGCATGTATGTATAGAAAAAACAAAGTGTATATAGGGTTCAGTACCATCCGTGGTCTCAGACATCCACTGGGGATCTTGGAACTTGTACCCTGCAGATAAGGGTGGAATACTGTAGCAGGTTGCAGAGGGGTTACCACATTATTTCTAGTATTTTGGGGGTAACAAATGTTTTAGAAACATTAATCTGACAGTTATGTGAATGAGGGAAAAATAGAAAATAGTTATTACATACTTGTATTTGTATGTGGAAAAATAAAGGTCAGAATTAGGATGGTGCAATGCAATGGAGATGGGCAGATATGATGGCTGTGAAGGAAGATTTAAGTGAGCTCTGTGACTAGCTGGCAGGAAAGAGAGGGAAGAGCAAGCAAGAGATGTTTTTCTTTTAATTTTAAACTTAAAAAAAAACCCTGAAGCACAACAAATACAAGAAAATCACACAATATAAATATAATGCATAATGGATTCTCACAAAGCATAATACCCCCGTAACTACCACCCAAATCAAGAAATAGAATACTCCCTGTGTCCCAAAGCTCCCCTAGTACCACTTACCATCATACCCCTCTCTTCTCTTCAAACTTGATTATCCTGACTTACAAAGCATAGCTCAGTTTAATCTGTGTTGAACGTTATATCAGTGGAATCCTACAGTATGAACCTCCTTTGTGGTTTTTTTTTTTTTTTTTTTTTTTTTGTGAGACCCAGTCTCACTCTGTCACTCTATCGCCTAGGTTGGAGTGCAGTGGTGCGATCTTGGCTTACAGCAAACTCCGCCTCCCAGGTTCAAGCAGTCCTCTGCCTCAGCCTCCCAAGTAGCTGGGATTATAGGCACCCGTCACCATGCCCAGCTAATTTTTGTATTATTAGTAGAAATGGGGGTTTCACCAACTTGGCCAAGCTGGTCTTGAACTCCTGACGTCATGATTCACCCACCTTGGCCTCCCAAAGTGCTGAGATTACAGGTGTGAGCCACCGCACCAGGCCTTGTTCTTTTATTTAATGTTTTTAAGGTTCGTCCATATTACTGTTTGTATCACTGGTTCATTATTTTATATTGATAAGTACTACTGCATTGTGTAAATACATCATGATTTATCCATTTACCTATTCATGGACATTTGGATTGTTTCCATTTGGGGGTTCCTATAAATGGTACAGCTATGATCAGTTATGCGTATGTCTCATAGTACTCATCTGCATGCATTTTGGTTGGGAATATATCTAGGCATGGAATTGCTATGTCATAAGGTACTGTTTAGTGCTGTTTGTGTTTAATCTTTTAATCTGGATGTGACTGTATTAAGTAACTCACAGGTAGATTCTATTGTTTTACCCCATCTGTTAGTCTTTGCCTTTTAATCGGAACATTTGGTAAATTTACATTTAATATAGTTATTAATAGATTTTAAATCTAAATCTACTATCTTACTATTTACTTTGTTCTGCTCACTCTGTATTCTTTTGTTCCCTTTTCTTGCCTTATTTTATACTGGTATTTTTATTATTTCATTGTTTCCTCTATTAGCTTTATAATTTCATACTTTTTTACCAGTCTTTTAAAGATGCAAATTTACTTCATCTTAAATTCTACTATAAATCAACATTTCATTTCTTTTCAGAAAATTTCAGAGACTTTTGGATACTTTAAGGCCATTTATCCCCTCCCAGCTTATATGCTATTGTTATCATATATGTTAATTCTCAAAAATGTAATTCCATGTTATTATTACTTTAGACAAACAATATTTATTTACATTTGTTGACATATTTACTCTGTTTTTTGCTCTTCATTCTTTCCTGAATTTCTGAGTTTCCATTTGTGGTCTTTTGCCCTCTGCCTGAAGAATGTCCATTAGTCTTTGTTGGGGTTTACTGATGATGAATTCCTTTGGTTTTGGTTTGTCTGAAAATGGCTTCATTTCACTTGCATCCTTGGAGAACAGTTTTGCTGTGTATAAAATTTGGGATTGACAATTTTTATTGATTGATTTTACTTTGAAGTTATCATTTTATTGCCTTCTGGTTTCTATTTTGTTGTTGTTGTTGTTGTTGTTAAGATGTCAACTGTCAGTCTAACGGTGACCTTGAAGGTAATTCTTTAAAAACTGCCTGCTTTTAATATTTCCCTTTGCCCTTGACTTTTCATGATTTTAATACAATGTGCTTAGTTGTGATTTTCTTATTTATTCTTCTTGAGGTATAGAACTTCTTGTATCTGTGGGATAATACTATCTTTCATAGTTTTTAAAAAATTCTCAACTATTATTTCTTCAAATATTGTTTCTGTCTCATTATATCTCTGATCTTTTGAGAATCCAACTGAGATAGTAGACAACCTCATAGTATAGCTCATATTTTGACTTTTATATTTTTCATTTATGTGTTTTATCTCAATATTTTCTTCTGATTTATCTTTATAATTCTGACTAATGTGCTGCTCAATCAGTCCATCAAGTTCTAAATTTTAGTTTGCATATCCTAAATAGAATTTCCACAGGCTGTTTTATTTTTACAGTTTCCAATTTTCTGCCAAAATTCTAAACATTGTTTTTTATTTCACGAACATTTTCAGAGTTATTTTAAAGATATGTCTGTTACTGTGTCTATTGTGTGCACTCTGGGGTGGGGTATGTTTGTATTTTCTCTTGTTTCTCTTGAGTTTTGTTCACATTATCTTGTGAACATTTAAAACATTAAATATTAGATCCCAGGTATGAAAAAAATATATGACAAATTTAAGCCTAGAATGATGCCACCTTCTTCCAGATGGAGTTTAACACTTACTTCTGGCAAGTTGCCATGAACACTAATACTATGCAACCACTTTAGTCAATTGTCAAGGATTGAGTTGGTTTGAATGTGGGCTTTACTTGCTGGAAGGGCCCATCTATTTCCCATTCATCTTTTGTCCTAGACCATAGACCAAGTGTGAGGTATTTATCACTGAATCCTTTCAAGACCCTGGATTACAATTTTTCTCCCTCTAGTGCCACAAGCCCTTCCCACCCCCATCTCCAAGTACTTTATTTCAGTAGAAGTATAGAGGCTTCTTACAGATAAAAATAACTCCAAGTATTGGCTCCTAACTCTGAATTTCCTCCTTCCTTTGGACACTGGCCTTACAATTTCTGTAGTGACTGATAAATAAATGCTCTTGTGTCTCTAAGAACATTGAAGAAATACTTTGTAAGTATTTTCTAGTTGTTCACAGCAAGAGTGTTAGTCTGAAATATCTAGTTTGACATTACCAAAAGCTAAAGACTTTGAGTTGGAAAAACATGAGTGAATTATTGTGCTTCCATTAGAAATGTAAAATCCTAATGTGAGACTTGGTTTAACAAAAATAATTTCGTTTTAAATGTTTTGAATTTGATGTAACATTTATACACCCATGTGGCATTGTTCCATGCAGATTAAGTATTCCTTATCTAAAATGCTTGGGACCAGAAGTGTCTTGGATTTTAAATTTTTTCAGATTTTGGAATATTTGCATTATACTTATTGATTGAACAACCCAAATCTGAAAATCTGAAATCTGGAAGGCTCCAAAAGAAAAGATATTTTGAACACCAGCACAACACTTACAGGAAATAGTCATTGGAGCATTTTAGATTTCAGATTTTCAGATTTGGGATGCTCAACCTGTAGTTGATTTGAAATACAGGACAGAATCTCAATAAATAAGTCAAGTGACTCTTGCATTAGATTTTACATGTGGAGAAACATATTTACCAAAGCAATTATTTCTTGTGAAAGGTCCAAAGTGAGGAAAGAATGAGTGACCCTTTTATACTAAGGGGTTGCTAATGTTTATCAGTCATGAGCTTGGTGTTTTATTTTATCCTTTATAGACATCATATCATTTAATATGTTTTAAAGTATTCTCATTTTAAAAATGATAAGCCCTTGGCTTGATGGAGTTAAGCAACTTGCAGGAAGTTCCATGTCTGCTAAGCAGCAACACCTAAGGTAAATCACAGAATGTCTATGTTTTTGATTATTCTATTTCTGTTTTGTAAGTTCGAGACAAGGCACTACCATCAGACCTTGAAAATTCAAAATAAGGGGTATTAAAACAAGTGCTACCAGCCAGATGCAGTGGTTCATGCCTATAATCCCAGTAATTTGGGAGGCCAAAGTGGGAGGATCACTTGAGCACAGGAGCTCAAGACCAGCCTGGGCAACATAGTGAAACACCATCTCTACACAAAATAGAAGGAAAAAAAAATTAGTCATGTGCACTGGTGCTTGGCCTATTGTCCCAGCTACTCTGGAGGCTGAGGTGGAAGGATGGCTTGAGCTCAGGAGTTTGAGGTTGCAGTGAGCCATGATCACGCCACTGCACTCCTGCCTGCATGGCAGAGTGAAACCCTGTCTCTTAAAAAAAGAAAAAAAAAAAGTGCTACCACTGAGTGGGCCTAGAAACAGCAACACTCCAGTAGCAACAAGCACACCCGGGACCCAGATCTTGGTTTCTAATACCATTCTCCAAAAACAGGATCCAGGTCCCTTAGAGGAATGGCTTATTCTAGGGCTGGGGCAGGTAATATACAAGTTTAACCTGGTGTGTCTTGTAATGTAGAAAAAAAGGGAGAGCTCAAGAAACAAACCGATGGGGTATTTCAAAGGGACACAGGAGTCAACCAAAGGAGCTCCCAATGGCCAGAGCTGGAACAGCTTGAACAACAAAAAATAATATAGAACTGGATTATAACCTAAAATATAAAATAAATATCCATGAATTCATACTGATTTAACTAAGTCATTAAAAAATAAATAAATGGGGGGAGAAGAGACAAATTTCCACACAGAAGAATTTGAGGAAATTTGTACAGGTACTTCCCCCTCAAGGAGATGGAACATTAACTCCCCACTGCTTAAATGTGGGCTATACGTAGTAGGGACTGTCTTCCAAAGAGGGTGTCATGGAGAGGGGCTACATGTGATGAATATTAACATCACCTGCGAGAAGTCATGTTGATAATGTACCCTTAGATATGATGTGATGAGAATGGCTCTTGACCTCTGCAGCGTTCCTCCCCCAAATCTACCAGCCAATCCAATCAAGAGAAAAACATCAGACAAACATGAATTGAGAGACACTGCAAAATATCTGACCAGTATTTTTCAAAAGTACTAAGGTCATCAAAAAGAAGTGAAGTTTGAAAAACTGTCACAGTCCAGAGGAACTTAGGGAAACAAAAAGACTAAATGTTATGTGGTAACCTGGATGGAATTCTAGAACAGAAAAAAGGACTAACAATGTCTGAATAAGGCAGGAGCTTTTCCAACCCTGCTGGAAATGAGGAATAAGAAAAGGCATGAGTTTTGGTTAATAATACTATACCAATTCTGGTTCATTAGTAGTGGTGAATGTATCATACACATGTAAAGTCATAACAACAGGGGATACTGAGGCAGGATACATATAGAAATGATCTATATTATATTTTGTAAGTTTTCTGTAAATCTGAAGTGATTTTAAAGCAAAATGTTTACAGAAAAATGCTAAATTATGTAGTTGTTACATCTAACAGATATCTTTTTTTTTTTTTTTTGAGACGGAGTTTTGCTCTTGTTGCCCAGGCTGGAGTGCAATGTCGCAATCTCAGCTCACCACAACCTCCGCCTCCCGGGTTCAAACGATTCTCTTGCCTCAGCCTCCCAAGTAGCTGGCATTACAGGCATGCGTCGCCACGCCTAGCTAAATTTGTATTTTTGGTAAAGATGGGATTTCTCCATGTTGGTCAGGCTGGTCTGAAACTCCCAACCTCAGGTGACCTGCCCGCCTCGGCCTCCCAAGATAACTTACCTTTTATATTGTTTCTCTGAATATTCCAAAGAGAATACTTATTGCTTTATCTTGGGAACAAAGTTGCATTTTGTTTTTGTTTTTGTTTTTTTCTCATTGAATAGGTCCTATCCTTTTTTTTTTTTTTCTTTCTCCAAGACAGAGTCTCATTTTGTCACACAGGCTGGAGTGTAGTAGCATGATTATGGCTCACTGAAGCCTCAAACTCCTGAGCTCAAGTGAACCTCCCACCTCAGTCTCCTGAGTGGCTGGGACTACAGGCATGCACCACCATTCCAGGCTAATTTTAACGTTTTTTGTAGAGACAGGGTCTCGTGATGTTGCCCAGGCTAGCCTTAAAGTCCTGGGTTCAAGCAATCCTCCCAGCTTGGCTTCCCAAAGTGCTGGGATTACAGGCTTGAACCATCATGCCTGGCTTGTATTCTTGTAGTCAATATTCTGCCACATGTTGGCAGAAGCCTGGGAATAAACGGAGGCTTGGGGAAGGGCAGGACCTTCTGAAAATGTAGTGTGTTTATCTGTGTCAATGAGGAAGTCCTGTAGCCATCTTTTAAGATGGACATGCAGTCCCCACATATAAAACCTCTCCACGGTTGTATCTCTCTCCTCCTTAGTAGTCAGTCTCTTTCTCCTTTTGTAGAGAATCTCTGAAAATCCCCGAAAACAATATTTGCTTTTAGATGTTTTGGATTAAATCCTCTATTGTCTTTTTCCTTTGAATCCTCTCTCTCTCTTTTCCCATACAGAAACCCCCAGATTTTTCACTTTAAGACTGTGTTACTGAACCAGATGATCCATCTTTATCCTTTGCTTCTCAGGCAACAAAAAAAAAGAAAAAGAAAAGAAAAAAAACAAAAGCCTGCCCACGCTGGAAGATTTAACAAACACTACTACCTCTTCTCTTCCAGATCTTGTCAGCTGCACTATTCCAATCACACTCAAAGCCGATCCACAACTCCCAACCCCATTCCTGCTGGATTTGAGTGCTGGCCTTCCACCAAGAACTTGCTGCAGCTGCGCCTGCCCTCTGAGTTCCTTAACCCTTTCCTCTTCTTTACTCTCATTTTGAGAGTTAGAGATGGAGGAAAGGAGGTTGATTCATTCTCCCCACAACTATTAGCCATTATTATACAGCAGCCACGCTGTGCCAGGCACTGAAGTTCTGGCAGTGAAGTAGGCAAGCCAAGTCCCCATCCATAGAGAGGTCACATTCTAATGGATGGGTAATAATCAGGGAGCACTTACCATTTTTGTTTTTTGTTCATTCATTTATTCTTTTTGTTGTCGTTGTTTGCATGTTTGTATGTTTTTTTGACAGATTCTTGCTCTGTCGCCCAGGCCGGAGTGCAGTGGCACAATCTTGGCTCACTGCAACCTCTGCCTCCCAGCTTCAAGTGAGTCTCCTGCCTCAGCCTCCCTAGTAGCTGGGACTACAGGCATGTGCCACCATGCCTGGCTAATTTTTTGTATTTTTAGCAGAGACAGCGTTTCACTGTGTTAGCCAGGATGGTCTCGATCTCCCGACCTTGTGATCCGCCCGCCTCCGCCTCCCAAAGTGCTGGGATTATTATTTTACAATAATGCCTGTATTATTAAATGCAGTCCTTATGTTATAGGCACTGTTGTTATTCTCATTTACTGAGACACAGAGATGTTTACTGACTCACACAACGTCACGCAATCAGTAAGTGATGGAGGTACCATTTAAATCCAGGGACACAGCCCGGGCAATGTAGCAAATGTAGCAAGACCTTGTCTCTACTAAAAATAAAAAACAAATAGTTGGGCATGGTGGTGTGCACCAGTACTCCCGGCTACTTGGGAAGCTGAGGTGGGAGGATTGCTTGAGCCCCAGAGATTGATGCTGCGGTGAACCATGACCGCACCACTGCACTGCAGCCTGGATGCCAGAGTGAGAACCTGTCTCAAATACATGCAAATAAGTAGGCAGGGTGCAGTGGCTCATGCCTGTAATCCCAGCACTTTGGGAGGCTGAGGAGGGCAGATCACCTGAAGTCAGGAGTTCAGGACCAGCCTGGCCAACATGGAAAAAAACATCTCTACTAAAAATACTAAATTATCCAGGTGTGCTGGCTTGTGCCTGTAATCCCAGCTACTCAGGAGGCTGAGGCAAGAGAATCACTTGAACCTGGGAGTTGGAGGTTGCAGTGAGACAAGATCGCACCACTGCACTCCAGCCTGGGTGACAGAGCAAGATTCTGTCTCAAAAAATAATAAAATAAAAACAAATTAATAAAAATAAATAAAGCCAAGGACTTGGATCCCAGAACACTAGGATTCCTAATCACTATCATACTGATAAAATTGTTATTTTAGGGTTGATAAATACTATCCCATTTCTGTCTTTCTCTTTCCACTTAAAACATTGTATTATGCTTAAAATATATACCTGTAGTGTTCCCTTATTAAAATTCTAAAAGAAAAAGCAGATTTCTTTTTTATTTGTTTAAGGAAAATGGTGCAGTAGGCATTCACTAGCTGCTTCTGTAGCGTCGATCATCTCTCTTTCTCATTTCTATGGTGAAGTTCTCCTTCCCCTCTTTTCTTCTTGCCCTTTTACAGAGCATCCAGGTGGGATGAACCCACCATCAATTCTATGGGTGGGCTCTGATTGGCATAAGCCAAACAACATGTCCTATTACTTTGGCCACAATGATTGGTTGGGCTAAGGTTGGTGCTTCAGGCATGAACCAATCAGTGCCTGGCATTCAAATCACCACCATGACTGGTTCAGACTCAAATAGCAACTGGAGATGGTAAGAGGTGAGGCTCCCTCTCCTCCTGGTTGGGAAAGAGGAAGTACATAACCCCAATAGCTGCCCGCAGCTATCAGGAGGCGCGTGGAACGTGACAGCAGTATGGGTAAGTGGAGTCAGCGTTGTCACCAAACCACACCTAATTTCTGCCTCTCTTCTGGACTCTTCAGTTATGTGAGTCATAAATACTCTTTATTATATTTGTATAAGTCATTTTGAATTGGAGTTTGTTATACTTTCACTCCAAAGTGTGTTATCTGATTACAAATAATTTCTTGTATTTTAGGCATGTACATCCTAAATATTGAAGTAGGTTTAAAAAAACAAACTCACAAGAAACTTTAAAAAATCTAAATTATCCAGAGGGCTTCAAATATCCAGAGAACATTTGCAAACAAATTTGGATCTCTGACTTATGTGCAAAATAATAATATAATAAAATAATAAAGGAAAATAAAATACCCATAGCCCGGGTGATTTGTTTGCTTCACATCTGAAGACAATCAAGATTGTGAGTTGGTAGTTTGGAGCCAGATGTAACAGATGCTCAATTGGCCCACAGCGTGCTGGTTTCAGATTGTCGTGTACAGTTGTCTTGGATTTTGTTGCTAAAAACACTGCTGTTTTTGCCAAACAATACTGTTTTGGGAGTTTGCCACCACAAACAGAGAGTTTGCTGTGATGAAGATTTGTTCTTTTTGTGGGACCGCAGAATACCATTAGATTATAATAATGTGAGAGGGAAGACATCAGCCTGCCTGTGTTCAGTATATCACATGCTACTAACTAGATTTAAAAGCACAGTTTTATTCTCAATAGCTAGCAACCAAGAGTGAAGATAATAGTGATGTGATTGGGCTTTTAAAATGCATGGGAAGTTGTATTCTCTTGGAGTCTGTATGCGTCCAAGGACATTCCTTCCATAGCCAATTTAATGTTCTGTGGGATCTTAGCCTATGCCGGAGAGAAGGCCAAAGCTAATCGAGAATCGTTGGGATGTAGCACAACAAAGCTCAGCTTTTACCCAGCTGGGGAGACAGGGTCTGCCGAGGAGTTAGCTCTCTAAGGAAGACATCCCATTATGTTTTCAGCTTCTTTATTCGCTTTGTTGGCCCAAACCTGGCAGCTTTCCGCTCTGTTCCTAGAACAAAATATTAAGGAAATAGAAGTCACTTTGGGAGACCAAGGCGGGCAGATCACCTGAGGTCAGGAGCTCGAGACCAGCCTGACCAACATGGTGAAACTCCGTCTCTACTAAAAATACAAAATAATAATAATAATAATTAGCTGGGCATGGTGGCAGGCGTCTATAGTCTGAGCCGAGATTGTGCCACTGCACTCCAACCTGGGCAACACAGCGAGACTCCGTCAAAAAAAAAAAACTAAAAATAAGTTGGCCTGAGAGTGGTAAAAATAAATAAAAAACAGAAATGGATAGAAGTTTTTTTTTCCATTTTTATTTCTTTTAACATTAACTACTGTATCTGACATTTGGGACATGGATAGACATAAATCATACATTTATTCCGTTAGGAATAAAATACATCTGGAACTCTATTAAAACTAATGAGGATGAAACTCACATTGACTGTGAGTATAAAAGCATCATAGGCAAGCACAGCCCAGGCTCTAGAGAGACTGTGCTCCCGAAGTCAGCTTTTATGGGTTGTATGGAACTTGGAGCACATCTCCTGATGTGAACAAGCACGGATGGTCACAAAGTCAGCCTGCTTGTTCAGAATGGTTTCAGTAGCAAAACAGTAAAACCCAAAGCCCAAACAGTGCATCAAGGTTGCTTCTGGGGGGAAATGGTTTGGACTTCACACTTGCTTGCTGTTCGTCCCGGCTGCACTGAGCTTGGGAGTTCCTTGGCAGTTCCCCAGGAGCTTACTTAGAGCAGTGTTGGGGAGGCTGTTGATGAGTGGAAACAGACAAGGATTCAGGTGTGGAGGGAACTAGCACCAAGGGGGATGGGAGTGTGAGCCAGTCAGGGGATGAGAAAGTCTGTGGCTCCTAACAGCATACGTTGTAAGGTCTCCGCTTGTGACTCATCTCCCTTTTAAAGATTCTTACCTTCAAGGGCAACATCAAAGAGGCAGACCTTGCCTCAGGTCGCTTCGTTGGCAAAGGAAGTGATGGAGTATGTATTCAACTCAAAGAATTGCAAAGGATGTCCAATGAATGTGAGCTTGGACTCTTTTGACACAGTGAGCTTTAGAATTCTGATTCTGGGGACGACCACAGAGTTTTGTGTAGTGGAATAATCCCACTTCTTATCAAAATATGAGCAGAATGTTTTATTTTTTATACATCTTAAGTTCCTTTTTTTTTTTTTTTGAGACAGAGTCTCGCTCTGTCACTCAGGTTGGAGTGCAATGGCTCTATCTCAGCTCACTGCAACCATTGCTTCCCAGACTCAAGCGATTCTCCTCCCTCAGCCTCCTGAGTAGCTGGGATTACAGTCATGCACCCAGCTAATTTTTGTATTTTTAGAAGACACGGGGTTTCCCCATGTTGGCCAGGCTGGTCTTGAACTCCTGACCTCAGGTGATCTGCCCGCCTTGGCGTCCCAAAGTACTGGGATTACAGGCATCAGCCACCGCGCCCAGCCCCTAAATTCAATTTCTATTTTACGAAGTACACCTTAATTTTTTTTATGAAAATCATAAGTACACTTCTGTATAATTTGAGTATGTCAGCAAAACACATTTAGAATGAAATCAATTATATAAACATTTTTTTCTTGAGAGAGAGTACCTACCTTTTGATTAGCTCTTCAAAATGTTGATATCCCCAGAAAAGCCAAGATTCACTGTTCTACAAAGACTGAGAGTATAGGTGCATTTATAGTTAGAGAGTGATGGATGGTTTTTCAGAAGAGCCAGAGATTTTTCAGCAGCATCCATAATGATGATTTTGGGACATACTCATTTGAAAGTACTAATGTCTCAATTTGTTTTAAGATGACAAAAGCAAAATTTAAATATGATACTTGTGAGGTTTCAATTGCATGATCTTGCAGTTTATTAAGGGGAATGTGGTTATAAATACATAATCATATTATAGGTATTAAAAGGTATATGAACATGTAAGTTATCAGAGCTGATAATAATTCCTGATTATTATTATTATTATTATTATTATTATTATTATTATTATTTGAGACAGAGTCTTACTCTCTCACCCAGGCTGGAGTGCAGTGGCACGATCTTGGCTCACCACCACCTCTGCCTCCCAGGTTCGAGCCATTCTCCTACCTCAGCCTCCTGAGTAGCTGGGATAACAGGTGCGCACCACCACGCCCAGCTAATTTTTTGATTTTTAATAGAGACAGAGTTTTGTCATGTTGGCCAGGCTGGTCTTGAACTCCTGACCTCAAATGATCTACCTGCCTTGGCCTCCCAAAGTGCTGGGATTACAGGCATGAGCCACTATGCCCGGCCGTGATTATTAAATGATTGTTTCTTGCTATGAGACTATGTCCAAGTGTTGTTAATGAAAAAGTATGGTGTGTGAGCTCTTTGAGACTGGGAGCTCTACCTTCCTTGTTCTTTGAATTTCCCTAAAGACCTACTGTCTTGGCCTCCATTTTTTTTTATATCTGCCATAATCTATTCCATAGTCAGGTAGCATAAGTGCTTACTGTGGGTCTGGTTCTCTTGCTTGCTTTTTGTCTTCTTCCTGCCTCCACATAATCATTATCTTACTGACTCTCGTCAGGTGTTTTTCCCTTTGTCAATATCCTCTGCTACTCCTCTAAATTCTCCTCTGATTTTTTTTTTCTGATATTCTGTTGTAATCTTTGCTCAGTTAACCAGCTCTGCCTTGTCAAAGGCCTCCTTAAATTCCCCCACGCTCCAATGTCTTTGCTTGGCGAGAAAGACCAAGAGCATGAGCATTCAACAAGGATCCCCTGAACATGCTGTGGTTGGTGTCAGGCAATATGCTGGGTGCTGGGAATGAGACGCACAGTCTCTACCCTCCAGGAGTTAAAATCCAGGCAGGTTAAACAGTCTGGCAGGATCTCCCAGGACCTTCTGTCACTTAGCAAGGAAGGAAAAGGGCTGTTGAAAATGAATAGTTTGGGTGCCACTCATTCTGCTGTATTTATCCCGTGATGTCCCTGGCGTTTGCATGGGTGCTAAATAAGCTGTTTCTCAGTCTTGTGTTACAGAAGAAGAACAAAACTACACAGTTGGTGACCATTTTACAAATAAATTCATTTTTAAAAGTCAGTCATCCTGAGAATATTCCAATTTCCCCCACCACTCCAAAAAAGCCCCAATCCTTTCCAACCACTTGAGGATGCAGTAATCCTTTTTTTTTCATTTTTTTACTGTATTTTTAAAATTTTTAACTTTTATATTTAGTTCAGGGGTACAGGTGCATGTTCGTTACATAGGTAACCTTGTGTCATGGGGATTTGTCATACATATTATTTCACCACCGAGGCATTAAGCCTAGTACCTGTTAGTTTTTTTTTATCCTCTCCCTCCCATCCTCCAACAGGCCCCAGCATGTGTTCCCCTCTGTGTCCACGTGTTCTCATCATTTAGCTCCCACTTATTAGTGAGAACATGTATTTGTTTCTCTGTTCCTGCTTTAGTTTGCTAAGGATAACAGCTCTGCAAAAGACATGATCTCATTGCTTTTTATGGCTACATAGTATTCCATAATGTCTATCCGAAGTGCCACATTTTCTTTATCCAGTCTGTCATTGACGGGTATTTAGGTGGATTCCACGTCTTTGCTATTGTGAATAGCACTGCAATGAACATATGCATGCATGTGTTTTTATAATGGAATGATTTCTGTTCCTTTGGGTATATACCCAGTAATGGGTTATGCATCAATACTTTGAGGAAGATTGCTTTGGACTTTATTTAATCCATCAGTCAGTCAACAAATGCTTACTGAGCACAGGTTGTTAGGTGCCAGGCACTGAGGACACAGCAGAGCCCAGGACAGATCCCGTGCCCTGAAGAATTTCCGGGTGTACAGTACATCACTGTGCCGTGATGTACTGTGGAGACAGCAGATGGGGGATCTATTCCATCACTACCTGCCTCATTTCTTTTATGCCTGGTCTAATTTCCTTCAAGTCAGATAAGTACTATAAATAGCTGGTTTGGTTTGCTCAGCAGAACCAAACTTGAGCTCCTGATTTCAAAGCCCCTGGGATGTGGTGAGGTCCCTTCAAGTGGCTCCCTCAGTTGCCGGACAATGACCTGTCTGCGGTTGCTGCTGATTTCACTGACTGTGTGGGATCACTTTTCAATAGACAGCTGTAACCTTAACCACACCGCATTGAGTCACAACAATATCTTTTTTGCCAAATTCTTCAAGAGGGGCTGTCTCCCACTCATGTGTACTCCTGTGAAACTCATAAAGGTGGATATGATTCATCATATTGCTAAGGCTTTTTCCAGAAATATCTGCATTCAATTTCTGTGAAAACAAAGGAAGCAAGCTTTCTCCTTCAAAAACATGGGATACAGGATTCAAAGCACTTAAAGGCAAACATCCCATCAGAATGAGGTTTTAACCATGTGAGATTCCATACTTCCCTTCACCCTATACAATCTCTACTTTGCTCCAATGCTTTGAGATCTGACACATGTTCCTCTATTCTCATTCAGGCCCCTAGACTAACATACCCTGGAGATGACAAAGGCTTTCTACAAATGACACTATTGGTCTTTCCAGTTCTTACCAACACAAGGAATGAATACCATTCTGGCCAGAGTAGTGCTCCTATAGATTGGGGGCCCATCTGCACTCAGTTCTTTTAGCCATCCCTCTGGAGCCCAGATGAAGGATGACACACCTGTTGCTGAGTCCCAGTGCCTGTTGGTTACTCTCCAGTGCTTGGAGTGGTATTCTGGGCTGACGAGGGCACCCACTCAGTGCCAAGACTGATTGTTTGGTCAACAGATGTCTGGGCCACCAAGATACCCTCACAGGGAGTCCTTTGGTCCCAAAACTTTGTGATGTTGTAGCTCTGGATAGCAGATAGATTGCTTAGGTGTGGCGACCCTGCCTTGAAATAAGAAGGCAGTCATGGGAAGTGGAGAGTGCAGAGGAGAGGATGGGGAGTGTGTTAGGCAATTGTTACATTGTTATAAAGAAATACCTGAGGCTGGGTAATTGATAAGGGAGGTTTATTTGGGTCATGGTTCTTCAGGGTGTACAGGAGGCAAGGTGTTGGCATCTGCTTCTGGTGAGGGCCTCAGGAACCTTCCAATCATGGTGGAAGGTGACAGGGAGCAGGTACATCACATGGTGAGAACGGAAGCAAGAGAAAGAGAAGGAGAGAGCCTCAGACTCTTCTAAACAAACAGATCTCAGGTGAATTGGGCAAGAACTCACTTACCACTAAGAGGGGATGGTGCCAAGCCATTCATGAGGGATTCACCCCCATGGTCCAATCACCTCCCAGCAGGCCCCACCTCCAACAAGGGGAATAATATTTCACCATGTGATTTGGAGGGTACAAACATCTAAACCATGACAGGGAGAGAGAGTGGCCCTAGGTATCAACCAAGGAGGCCACAGCCCAGGTACTTGGCCTGCGTCATGGCACTGCACCCGCTGACCACTGGGCCTATTTAAAACATTAAATGTGATCCAAAGAGGCTTTTGGTGGCCTTGTATCTGTCATGACATTTCAGCATGCTGCCATCTAGTGGACGTGTCCGTGGACTGACTGACTAGTCAGAGGAATTTGGACCCCTGGATCATCTTCTTCTCTATCAAATTGAGCAGTCAACACTGGGAACTTTGAAGTGAAATGTGATCTCCTTACTGGAAATTGTAGTAAAAGAAGGAAGTGGAGACAACAATGGACTATCTACGATCCAGTCTTCCACCCAAGCTCCCTAGGAAGATACTTTCATGGGTGGGATGTAGGTGGCTGGCACGTGATGTTAACAATCCCCTTGTGCTTGGCTTGATTGCTGCTGGAATATCAGTTTTTCCTTGCTTTCCCTATAGGGAAATCTGCTAAAGAAGTTGAGTCTCTTCATCAACATGTTCCCTGCAGTGGGTACTATTTCAAAGGGCTCAGTTTTCTCATGGTGTCCACTTCGCCTCCTCCTGTCCCTCCACTCCCATTGCGATCAGAGCAGAACCTCACTTTCACTGGCATCTCTTCTTGTTCAGTTAGAAAGTCTTTATGAGCCAGTGGCCTGTTTATTAAAATCCAGTCAGAAGAGTAGTGATCCAAATCCTATTGATCCCACCTCATTTAACTTAGTGAATTAAATACTTAGGAATACAGGGTGTATCTGGCTAGGTCAAGGTGACCAGAACAAGGTTATCTATGATTGATTATATATTTTAAAATATTATCAATATCTAAGCTTAAACATATTCACTGTGACTCAATTCTCTTCCAACAGAAATATTAATAATCCAAATAATATTCTTTGTGAAATAACCTGAATACAGACTAACATTTTTCCTTCTCTCCTGTTGTACCTCCTAAAGTGAAATGATCTTGAACAGAAGTGGAAGTCATTGCCCACTAGTCCTATGGCGAGGGTACATTTATCTCCCATTAATCTCTGTTTCACAACTGCCACCATGTCTATGAAGTTGGCCTTCTGCCTCCACAGATGTCCTAAGCCTAAAACACTTCCACAGATGACTTGGCTTCAGCTTCATGGACCACATAATATCAGAAATCAGCCATCATTTTGCCTCTCAATTTTGGAAAGCATTGTTCTACAGTGAAGGCTTACTTACATCCTTGGCTGTGCCTCAGAATCACTTGAGTTTTAAAAATGTACATGTGCCATAATTTGACACCTGAATATTCTGATTCTGTAGACTTAGGATGAGATCAATTGTCTGTAGTCTTAACTCCAGTGATTCGTTGTCAGAACAAACAGCCGACTGTTCTAGACCTTCCAAGTCTTGTTCCACATGTTCACTGCCTGTTGTGTATAGACCATTAGCCATATGGAATGGATCAATTCATACTCAAATGGTAACTCCAGAATAGCACCTCTTACTAAAAAAAAGACAAATGCTCTATGTATTCCCAACAGAATTCAGTTGTGATGACACACCATAGTTCACTGGCCAGAACACTCCCTTTGGAATCCATTACTCTTCCACTTCTACTGGTCCTCCACCACCTCTGGCACCACTGTTACCCCAACAGCTGGTCAATATTAAGCTGTCGTCATATACATATAAGGAATTCAGTAACTAGTGCTGGGCCCTGGGAGACTGGGGGGAGATTTGTGAGTCTGGGCTTGATTCCAGATACAACACACATTTTGCCCAAGCCAGCTGCTGGAAGACCAAAACTTCTGACTCTCCAAGGAAACAACAGATGCTATATTCCAGGTCTTTACACCCCAAGCATTCTACTCATGCTCATCCAAGACTCCAGACTCCCTTCTCTACCTTGAACCCTTATGTACATGTTTGAAGAGGTTCTGGGAACATAGTGGCATTAAAATCAGCCACTGGGTCAAACAGCTAGGCGAAGAAACCCTTCTCCCACCTCAGAAATGTCCTGGGGCACATTAGGGCCTGCTCTGCATAAGCCTGGGGGAAGCAAAATCCCTCTCCTGTTGGTGGAAGGTGGTGTCTAAATTCAGTGAGCCCCTTGTATAATTCATCCTACTAAAACCCAAGGGTGCAATTATCTTTAATAAAAGCTACTCACTGCAGCCATATTCTTTGACTTGGAGAATGTTCCCAGTCTCTGTGCCCACCCCCTGGTTCAAATCTTTTCACTTAACCGTGGTTTCCTTGGCTTCCAGCTGGTGGCCTCCCTCGCATCTGTATTTTCTCTCTCTCCCCGCAATCCTAGCCTGGGATTGCATTCCTGATCGGCCGTCCTACTGGGTTCTGATTTAAAGATGCTGCTTCCTGGGTCTCCAGTGGTCAAGTGACTTTTTCCCTTAACATCCTTTCCAGCCTCCTGGAGTAGAACATCATGGCTCAGGCCTAGTACCCATACTCCAATTTTTTGAGTAGGTTGGGGGGCTAGCCCCAAGGACTCAGTAAGAAAAATTAATACCCCTTCCTGAATGTAGGGAAGGAAATGCAGAAGAACACTTAATCCCCGTGGGAGTCTTCCCTCCAATTCCCCAAGCTGTGACCACCAGTCCTGAGGTCTTTCTTAATTGCTGCATCATTTTAACTTACGATTTTTCATCTTCTTTCATCTGACCAGATTGTTAGCTCTCTGATGGCAACAATGTGCTACCTAAACTTTGTTTCTTCGTAGTATCTGGTGTAATCTTTTACTTCAAATAGGGGATCAAATAAATATCAATACATATAGATGCTATGAAATAGGCAAACACATATCACTAGTGCCTTCTCTACACAAAGATAGAGGTAAATGTGATGGGTTCAGGGGTTTCTGTGATTTTAGGTAAGATGTGCTGGTTGGGTATCAGAGGCTTCTAGAGGGAGTCAGTGACAGGGAGGGACTGCTCAGCCTCACAGGAGGGGGAGTGTATTAGTCTGTTTTCACACTGCTGATAAAGACATACCTGAGACTGGGTAATTTAGAGAAAAAGAGGTTTAATGGACTTACAGTTCCACATGGCTAGGAGGTCTCACAATCATGGCAGAAGGCAAAACACACATCTTACATGGCAGAAAGCAAGAGAGGGAATGAGAACCGAGTGAAAGGGGTTTCCCCTTATAAAACCATCAGATCTCATGAGACTTGTTTACTACCATGAGAACAATATGGGGAAAACTGCCCCTATGGTTCCATTATCTCCCAGCGGGTCCCTCCCGTGTGGGAATTATGGGAGCTACGATTCAAGATGAGACTTGAGTGGGGTCACAGCTAAAGGATATCAGAGAGAGCATCTGACAAATGCAGTGGAAGGATTTCTTGAGAATGACTGAGTTCATATCCCAAATGAGAACCATACGCAATTTCCTATAGATTTTTCCAGATCTCCCCCTCAAAGCAATAAGGGGCATCTGCTGGATGGCTGTAATCATGTTCAGTTCTTCCTCATTCGTTAACCTGTGAGGGCATTCACCAGAGTGGGCTCAGACTCTTGCGTGTAATCTTTTTCCAGGCCCTGGGGTTTGTTCTGCACCAGCTGTGCTGTGACATCTTTTATTTACCCCCATCAAAGTCCACAGGACTAAGCACAGAAAGGAACTGGTCTTTTCTGATGTAATTGCTTTTACCACAGCCTATAAGTCATGAATCTTTACCTGTTGATTTTTAGGAAAAGATTTTTTTCCCAATGTGTTATGCAAAATGCTGGCTATATTCTCTTCAAATGAACGTTATGCAAAATGCTGGCTATATTCTCTTCAAATGAACGTTATACAAAATGCTGGCTATATTCTCTTCAAATGAACGTTGCCTCTTTCTGTCTTTCTCTACCTGTATGAACTTCTGCTTGGGTTCTCTTTGCAAGCTTTATTCTCTGTGGCCAAGAAGGATCTCTTTGCCCAGTGAACATATTGTGTGCAGTTGTTTCACACAGCTCTGGTGGGTGCAGCTGCTGCTTGCTTGCAGTCTGAATTGAAAATGGATTTTCCTCTATGCTGCTGTGACACTCCCTGTGGCCGGGAATGAAACAGTTCGAAGTATTCTCATCATCCACTCACTTGGGCTATGTGGCAGGCCTGGAGGAGGCGTGGTTAACAGGAGGATGAAGAGAAGGAGAGTTGCTGCTGCTGTTTGTAATTAGAGACTAAGGTTGTTTGATGATGAGGGTAAAGAGTACATAAGAAATATCTCTACAACCCATAATCAATTCAATGTGATCAAAACAATAAATATACATACAATAAATATACATACAATAAATATAATGTAATCACTGCAGAGCCAGTAATCATTTCTGAAGACAGGGTAGCAGGTGTGAGAGGACGTAGGAGGAGGTAGAGGGCAGGAAAGTTGGTGAGGAACTCAATGGGGCAGCTGGGTCTTATGGCGACATAATGTAACAGAAAGGAAATACCTGAGAATGAAAGGAATGAGAGAGGAAAGGTTAAGTACCTGGAACCTCAAAAGGATCTTTTATTTTTTTGAGATAAGGTCTCACTCTGTCACCCAGGCTTGAGTGCAGTGGTATGTTCATGGCTCACTACAGCCTCAACCTCCTGGGCTCAAGCAATCCTCCCACCTTAGCCTCCGAGTAGCTGGGACTACAATGATGCAACACCATGCCCCGCTAATTTTTTTTTTTTTTTTTTAGTAGAGATGGGGTCCTGCTATATGGCCCAGGCTGGTCTCAAACTCATGGGCTCAAGTGATCCTCCTGATTTGACCTCCCAATAGTGCTAGACTTTCAGGCATGAGCCACCATGCCTGGCTAACCTTCAAAAGAACCTTGCCACCACTGCCAACACTCAGAAACTCTGAAAAGTTGGAAGCTGGCTCTGAGTTAATGAGCTGAGTTTGTAAGTCTTTTTGACAAGAGATCAACTGCTATGCTCGCGGACTCGTGCGTTGCTCCGTCTTGGTTTCTTGACTTTGGCCTGAGCCCCAGCCCGTCCCTGTGGGTACAGGTTTTATGGACTGATCGATCCATGTGACTGCTTATTTTCCTTCATACTTTCTACCACCATTTCATGGAGAACTCTGCTTGCTGCCAGCCTGTATGTATCTTCAGGGACTTGTGTGACTTACTTTCTCCTGCAGTGCTATTATCAGAAGATTGTATCTTCTTTAGGTGATTTTTCCATATCAGGCAGCTCTATAAAAATGATAACAGTGGGTGTAAAGTAAGTTTTGCATGAAATCTTAAAAAATATTCTACCTAGTGGCATTATTTTTCATTTGCATTTGGAGGGGACTGAAGGCTGAGTGAGTGAGTGAGAAAAAGGGACACCTTGGGAGATGCGTTTTTGGCAATAGAAGAGGAGGCTTTTCTGGTGTGTGGCTTGGCTTTTTTTTTTTTCCTTTTCTTTTTTTTGAGACAGAGTCTCATTCTGTCGCCCAGGCTGGAGTGCAGAGGTGCCATCCCAGCTCACCTCAACCTCCGCCTCCCGGGTTCAAGCAATTCACCTGCTTTAGCCTCCCGAGTAGCTGGGATTATAGGCGTGCACCACCATGCCCTGCTAACTTTTATATTTTTAGTAGAGACAAGGTTTCACCATGTTGGCCGGGCTGGTCTCAAACTCCTGACCTCAAGTGTTCTGCCTGCCTTGGCCTCCCAAAGTGCTGGGATTACAGGCGTGAGCCACTGTGCTCCCCCTTGTTTTGTTTTGTTTTGTTTTGTTTTGGAAAGCAATAAAGCCCAAAGCTCAATTTGTTTTTGGTTTGCTGCAGTTGCTGAAAAGAAACACTTTGTCTCCAGCAAAGACAGAAAGGAGGACTTTATATAGCAGTAATGTGATCACAGATATTTGATGTGGCCTCCATAATGAGGCCAACAGTGAGAAGCAAAGACAGTTCTCTAGAGGAGGTCAAGGCAATAACAGGTAAATGAACGCTGTGCTAGATTCAAAAGATGGGATTTTGGTCTGGTGAGGTGGCTCATGCCACTAATCCCAGTACTTTTGGAGGATGAGGCAGGTAAAGTGCTTGAGCCCAGGAGTTTGAGAGCAGCCTGAGCAACATGGCAAAATCCCATCTCTACAAAAAATACTAAAATTAGCAGAGCACGGTGGTGCCTGCCTGTGGCCCCAGCTACTCAGGAGGCTGAGGCAGGAGGATCACCTAAGCCCCATACTGCCGTGGGCTGTGATTGTGCTACTGTACTCCAGCCTGGGCAACAGAGTGAGACCGTATCTCAAAAGAAAAAAAAGTGGGATTTTGAATACATCTGGAATTATGGCTGAGTTGTCTCTTGTAATATAGGTGAGCCATTGAAATCAGAGGTCCTGGATTCTGAATAGGGCTGAGTTACATCTGTTCTCATGAAGTTCTGGACAGCAGCTGCTTGTGTGTGTGTGTGTGTAGCTTAGCTCTAAGACAGAGCTAGGTTATGAGAGCCTGTCTTATATTTTTTTCTTTTGGTGTTGAAAAATAAATAGTTTTGTGTGTGTGTGTTTTGTTTGTTGTTTGTTTTTGTTTTTTTTTTTTTTTGAGATGGAGTTTCGGTCTTGTTGTCCAGGCTGGAGTGCAGTGGCGCGATCTCGGCTCACTGCAAGCTCCACTTCCCGGGTTCAAGCGATTCTCCTGCCTTAGCCTCCAGAGTTGCTGGGATTACAGGTGGGCACCACCACGCCCAGCTAATTTTGTATTTTTAGTAGAGACAGGGTTTCGCCATGTTGGTCAGGCTGGTCTCGAACTCCTGACCTCAGGTGATCCGCCCGCCTCAGCCTCCCTAAGTGCTGGGATTACAGGCGTGAGCCACAGCGCCCAGGCCAATACATTATTTCTTTTCACAACTGAGACATTCTGGGGCTCATGTGGAAGCATTCAAAAATACAGTCACTGGAAAGACTTTAGTCAAGCCACTAACAGCTTGCTGGCAGAAAATAAGGAATTGAGAGATGATCTCAGTGGTACTGTGAACGTCTGTGTGAACTGAGAAGGTTTTCCTAGTCACAGGACAAGGCTGCCTGCCCTTCAGTTTGTCCTCCCCACCACTTCTATCCTGCACACAGCTGGCAGCTCTCATGAGCTGTGTCCTGAAAGAATAACCAAACATCCTTTGTTCCTCACCAAAGTTCTTCGGTAACTCCCCTTCTTCCCCGACTCCTCCCAATTCAATGTGTATATTTAAATCAAGAACGGTTCATATTGTAAGAAACTGAAATACATAAAAACTTTAAAACTCTCAATTTAAGTATAAATTGCATCTGTCGTTACGCTGCCACCTTGCTACCGTAATGACATAATCTTGGCAGCCAATGGACAAATTTGAAACACGTCAGTAAGTCTTTGAAGTTGTGACATCACACATGTAATTGTACTGAACGGAACAGGTTCATGGAGAGTCTCCCATTTTTACTGACAGCACCAAAAACATATGCTAATACAGTGGTGCGAGTCGCCATTCATTAAACCACTTATATTGTATTTCCAATGATAATTGTGAAGGCATGAAAGTGCAAAACATACGCCCAGGGAGAACTTCTGGAGTGCTGGCAAATTAAGACCCTGTCATGTCTTGAGGGGCAGAAGATTTTATCGTATTCGCTGTTTTGCTAATATAATAGCTAATTATGCTAATATAATATAATATATATAATATATAATAATAGTCAATATTTGGGAAGATTTTCTACATGTTAATAGTTGCAAAACTGTATTCCTTTTTTTTTTTTTCTGAGATAGTGTTTTGTTCTTGTTGCCCAGGCTGGAGTGCAATGGTGCGATCTCGGCTCACTGCAACCTCTGCCTCCTTGGTTCAAGTGATTCTTCTGCCTCAGCCTCCCCAGTAGCTGGGATTACAGGCGTGTGCCATTGTGCCTGGCTAATTTTGTATTTTTTGTAGAGACAGGGTTTCTCCATATTGGTCAGGCTGGTCTCGAACTCTCGACCTCAGGTGATCTGCCTGTCTCGGCCTCCCAAAGTGCTGGGATTACGGGTGTGAGCCACTGTGCCCAGCCTAGAACTATTGTTTTCAGGGGAAGGGGATGTGGGGGTATTAGTCCGTTCTCACACTGCTGTAAAGAAATACCCAATACTGGGTATTTGGAATACCCCTGGCCGTATTCCATTTTTTAAGGTGCAGTTGAGAGAAATATATTTTTATTATCAGAAAATCAACACAAATATTTATGGAAATATTAGAATATACAACTAAGCATAAAAAATAAGAGAAATTGGCCAGATGTGGTGGCTCACTCCTGTAATCCCAGCACTTTGGGAGGCTGAGGCGGGTGGATCATGAGGCCAGGAGACCGAAACACGGTGAAACCCTGTCTCTACTAAAAATACAAAAAATTCGCCAGGCGTGGTGGCACGCGCCTGTAGTCCCAGATACTGGGTAGGCTGAGGTAGGAGAATCGCTTGAATCCTGGAGGCGGAGGTTGTAGTGAGCTGAGGTTGCGCCACTGCACTCCAGCCTGGGTGACAGAGCGAGACTGTCTCCAAAAAAAAAAAAAAAAAAAAAAAAATCAATAACTCTTCTTTCCCGGAATTAAATACTATTAAAGCCTTGGTGCACATTTTGCCAGGTCCTTGGCTGGGTATGTGTGTTGTAGAGTGACCGACTGTGGCAGTGGCAGTTTGCATGGCACTGAGGAATGTCCTGGGTTACTGGGCTTTCAAATCTAAAACTGGACAATGTTGGGTAAACTGGGAGAACTGGGTCATATAGATAGACTCATGTGCACACACAGATTTACCTACACCATAGTAAGTGAAATTATTTTATTGAGGACCCAAGGGCAGGGCCAAACAACACTAAGCTTTTTCTATGTTTCTATGCATTATTAGTATTCTCAGTTTTCAGGAGGGAAACCAGCTGCACTCATACCTGTAATCCCAGGACTTTGGGAGGCCAAGTCTTCAATTGCTTGAGGCCAGGAGTCGGAGACTAGCTTGGGTAACGTAGTGAGACCCAGTATCTACAAAGAATGATCTGGGTGTGGTGGTACACACCTGTAGTCACAGTTACTCAGGAGGCTGAGGCAGGAGGATCACTTGAGCCCAGCAGTTTGTGGCTGCAGTGAGCCATGATTGCACCACTGCATTCCAGCCTGCGTGACAGAGCAAGACCTTGTCTCTTAAGGAAAAATAAAAAAGGAGGGAAGTCAAGGCTTAGAATGGTGTTTTTATTTTTTAAAAAAAATTATTTATTTATTTTGAGAGAGAGTCTCACTCTGTCACCCATGCTGGAGTACAGTGTCCTGATCTCGGCTCACTGCAACTTCTGCCTCCCAGGTTCAAGAGATTCTCCTGCCTCAGCCTCCCAAGTAGCTGGAATTACAGGTGCCCACTACCATCCCTGGCTAATTTTTGTATTTTTAGTAGAGATGGGTTTTCACCCTGTGTTGGCCAGGCTGGTCTTGAACTCCTGGCTTCAGGTGATCCACCCACATCGGCCTCCCAAAGTGTTGGGATTACAGGCATGAGCCACTGCACCTGGCCAGAATGGTGTTTTTAAATTAGTGAATGTCCTGTTAAAATGTTAGGTCTATTTTCCTGTTGGAGTAGAGTAGTGATGTAAACTCTTAGACACATACACGCATGTTTCTTCCTAGTTTGTCATTTAAAAAAAATGTTAGTTGGGGTTTTCTGTATACAGACATTATATCATTTATGTGTTAGTGGTATCATTTTCCTATTTTTTTTTTGAGACAGAGTCTCACTCTGTTGCCCCACGCTGGAGTGCAGTGGCGCAATCTCGGCTCACTGCAGCCTCCGACTCCTGGGTTCAAGTGATTTTCCTGCCTCAGCCTCCTGAGTAGCTGGGACTACAGGTGCATACCACCATGCCCAGCTAATTTGTCTTCCATATTTTTGGTAGAGACAGGGTTTCACCATGTTGGCAAGGATGGGTTCGATCTCCTGACCTCGTGGTCCGCCCACCTTGGCCTCCCAAAGTGCTGGGATTGCAGGCGTGATATCATTTTCCTATTTTATGCGATGCTTTAGAAAGTCTTTTTCCCTCCTAAGGCCATATAAAAAGTCACTTGTAACTTTTTACCAGAATTCTTAGGGTATCACATGCATTTGGGATATACTTTAGTATAAGATACAAGGTAGGAATGTAAGTTTTTTTCTCATATGGATACAGGTTGACAAATAATCCATCCTTTTGTCTTCGATTTAAAATTCACATATTTAACACACACAGACACAGACATGTGTATAGACATGTCCACATACATGAACACATTTCTATACCTTCTATTCTACTCCGTCAGTCTATTTCAGAACCTGTATCACACTATGCTAATTATTATAGCTCGAGGATAAGGACAGGATGGGAAGAAGTATTACTTGGCCAGGCGCAATGGCTCACACCTGTAATCCCAGTACTTTGGGAGGCTGAGGCGGGCAGATCACCTGAGGTCAGGAGTTCAAGACCAGCTTGGCCAACATGGCAAAACCCTTTCCCTACTAAAAATACAAAAATTAGCTGGGCATGCTGGCAGACATCTGCAATTCCAGCTACTCAGGAGGCTGAGGCAGGGAGAATTGCTTGAACCCAGAAGGTGGAGGTTGCACTAAGCCCATATCATGCCACTGCACTGCAGCCTGGGCAACAGAGTGAAACTGCATCTCAAATAAATAAATAAATAAAAATTTTAAAAGGTATTACTTAACCTTAACCCTAGGAAATATGAAAGTAAAGATGAACCTGTAGGTAACAATTTAGCCATGAAAGATTTCCTCCAACTCATCCCTACCTTATGTGTCTGGGGATGTTCCATGGGGGAAACAGTCTGTGTTTCAAAGTCACGTGTTGATGATTTGCAGTTCCCATAGAGACAGGCCTTGGAGACCTACAGTAAGATTTAACCTTGTAAAGCTCATAATTGCTGTAACAGACAAGTTTTAGCCTTTTGTCTGTTTTATTGCTACATAGCACCACACAGGGATGGAACAGTGTTCTTTCATGTCAAAGGTTTGGAACTCTTCTGTTTTTTCCCTTAGATTCCTTCTCTTTTCTGGCTACACAAGAACGTTTGAAGGGATAATGAGGACAGTGATACCAGAACTGCAGAAAGCAAGTTGCTGCAATTTTAAGAGTATCGCAAAATCTGAGATTCTGGTCCTATTCTCGAGTGGCTCAGTGGAGTATTCCGAGTATTCTTTTTTCATCTTTAGTTTTCCTTTTCATCCTTAACTATGGTATCAACAATTATTACAGATAGAAATGAAAATATCAGTGATGCTGCTTACTTGTAGCCATAGATGATTTCCTTGTTTAGTGGTGCTCATAAGAGCCTAAAGCTGTGTTCTTTCTATTTGCTCAGTAAATGTAATTGAAGCTATTTCATGTTTTTTTTTTTGAAGGCGCTGAGCAAGGAGACAAGTGATTTCTCATTTTGCTATAATTTCTTAGTGATAGCAAATTGATGTCTTATCAAAAACATGCCTTGCTTGTTTGCAGTTTGATTTGGCTATTGAAGTAATAATAGCAGTTTGAAAAGTTTATCAGGTTTTGATAAACATGACAGTTGTTTTGTGTTCAAGTCTTTGAGAGTGGGTAGAGTTTTTTGTTTTGTTTTTTTCGCTTAGATATAGTGATGTAGTCTACAAGCAAAGGCATCTGAAAATAGCCTAAAAGACAAACAGCTGCGATTCAGGCTTTGTTGGAGCTTATAATCCAACACCACGCATCCTAAAAAACTTAAATGAGTTCGTAAAGACTGCATTAAGCAAATGAGGTTTAAAAGTCAAATATCAGTGAAAGATATAAAATATATATCAGTTTGGGCAGTCAGTGCACAATAATAAAAAGAGGCAGGAACTTCCCTAATAAAATAGTGGAATGTGCCATTTATTCTAAAAGTGTGTGGCAAAACTGTGATAGGAGACGTTCCAGCAGCCTCTGTTGCTCACTTTTCCATTTCTTTTTCGTGTCCACCTTCAAACATTTGGAAATTTCTTCTATTTGCACAGTCAGTAATTCATTCAACAAAGAATGTTCAAGTTCCTGGAGTGTGCCAGATACTAGGTGCTGGGGACACAGCAGCGGGTAGATCATAGCCTCTGCCCTCATAAGAATTACATTCTAGGGAGGAGAGACAAACAATAAAATAATGAACCATTCAAGGCAGAAAATGCCAAATAGTAAAAAGTGCCGTGGAGGAAAATAATACAAGGTAAAGGGGATGGCACATGCCTGGCCAGTATTTGTGGGTGGCAGTGGGTCGGGGGGAAGGGGGGCATGCTGTTGCTATTTTATTGAAAGTAGACAAGAAGGCATTGTGTAAAGAGCTGGAGAAAACGAGGGTGTTACTCACATAGGTGTCCTGAGGAGGAACATTTCAGACAGAAAGACCAAGAAGCATAGAGGCCATGCCTGGTGAATTCCTGGAGGAGCAAGTTGGGGATGTGAGTGGGGTTCAGGCAGAGCTGGGAGGGTAGGGAAGGCTGGTAGGAACGATCTGAGATGGGACTGCACAGTTGTGGATGCTTTTTGGCCATGAAAGGATGTTGTTGGTTTTTCTCTGAATGAGAAGGGAAGTCTTTGGGGGATGTTGAGTGGGGACATGACCTTGGCTTAAACTTTAATGCGATCAATGGGCTCCATTATTGAGCATAGACCCTAGGTACTCAAAGGAGTGTGGGGTACAGGGGTCTCATTAAAAAGCTACTGCAATAGATGAGGAAGAGGAGAGGGCTGGATGGTGGAGATGGGGAGAAGTGATTAGCATCTCCATGCACTTTGAAGACACAGCCAAAAGTATTTGCTGATGGACTGGATGAGGGATGAGAGAGAAGGGGAATGAAGATGGTGCCATGGTTTGTGGCTAGGCAACTGGAAGAGTGGAGTTGAGCTAACAAATAATAGCAACCATCCTTATCTCACTGACAGCTCTAGCTTTGGTTCCGGGTGTCTTTCCTTTTGTCTTAGGCCCTACTTCTCTGCTCATCTCACTTTTTTAAAACATTATAGCAGTTTTAGGTTCATAGCAAAATTGAGCAGAAAGCACAAAGAGTTCCCATATACCCTTTGTCCCCACCCACATATAACCTCCCCTACTAATGGACATCCCCCAGCAGGGTGGCACATGTATTACAACTGATGAACCTTCCCTGATACATCATTGTCCCCCAAAGTCCAGAGTTGACATTAGGGTTCACTCTGTGCTGTGCATTCTATGGATTTGGACAAATGTATTATGACACATATATATTACTGTAGCATCATACAGAATAATTTTACTTCCCTAAAAATCATCTGTGTACCTAGTCATCCTTCCCCCCAAACCTATCTCCTGGCAACCACTGATCTTTTTCATTTATACATAGTTTTGTCTTTTCAAGAATGTAAATTTCCTCCACATATTTTCACGGCTTGATACTTAATTTATTTTTAGCAGTGAATAATCGTCTGTACGTACCAGAGTTCATTTATCCATTGTCTGTATATACCAGAGTTCATTTATCCATTTACTCACTGAAAGACATCTTGGTTGCTTCCAAGTTTTGCCAATTATAAATTAAGCATAAACAAACATCCTCGTGCGGGTTTTTGTGTAGACCTAAGTTTTCAAATCATTTGGGTAAATACTAAGAAGCACGATTGTTGGAGTGTATAATAAGAGTATGTTTAGTTCTGTAAAAAACTACCAAACTGTCTTCCAAAGGGGTTGTACCATTTTGCATACCCACCAGCTATGCATGAGAGTTCCTGTTTGCTCCACAGCCTTGTCAGCATTTGATGTCAATGTTTTGGACTTGGTCCATTCTACTAGGTATATATTGGTATCTTGTTGTTAATTGATTTCAGTTTCAAGACTTTCAGTTTGCCAAGGCTTCCTTTTAAAAATTAATTGGCGCTTTCCAAGCCCTTGTCCTTCTGGATCAGTAAGGTCTTTGAAATATCCTCAGTTATTTTAAAGTCTCAGATTAAACAAACCAACAAACAAGGCCCTGCAATGGGCGCTGCTAGTGGATGAAGTCATCTGAGACTCAGTGCCTGTATTACACAGCTTCAGTCCACCTTGGCCTCTCCCTGCTCTGGTCATTGGTCTCTGTGGATGGCCCTATGTCTCTCCTTCCTCCTGCTAATTTCTAAAGAAGAATACCCACCTTTCCATGACTTGTTGTTCCTGTTCTATGCTTAGCCTATTAGTGTGTATGAACATTTGAACCATCACATTTAGGCTGATAAGTTTCCAATTTACATCTGCAATTCTAACCTTTCATCTAACTTTTATCCCTGTATTTCTAGGTACCTGGAGAATCCCCCCATCTTGAAAATCTTGCTCTTCTTTCTCTTGCTGTCTCTCCAATCCTGCATGTTTTTTTTTCTGTCCCTCAGTGCCTCTCACTTTCTGTCTCTTTCTCTCTCTTTAGGCTCTGTAGGTACCAGCCTTGTAAGATTACCCTCTTTTCCTCACCTCCCACCTTAAGCCCATCAGCAAGTCCTGTTAGCTCTTCTATGAAAGTTTATCTACCAGTTGGACGGTGCTCAGCTCCTGTGCTGCCAGCACATAATCCAGGCCAACAGCTCTTACTGAAGTCCTGCAGTAGCATTCTAACTTACTTCTTGGGTCCACTTTTGGTGCTTTATATTACATCCCCCACAGAGCAGTCAGAGTGACCTTTTAAATCAGATCCTAACACTTTCGTGTTTCATGTTCTCCCGTGGCGCCCCTAACTATGAGAATGAAATCCAAACTTCTCACCGTGGCCTAAAACTCTGATATCAACAGACCTCTGCCTGCCATCCCCAAACTAGTCTCCTACCTTGTCTCCTTCATTTCCAACTTTCTTTTTTTTGAGTTGATAATTTGCCCTATTAATAAAACAGGGTCAAATTTAATAAACTATAATGTAAAGATGGGAACAAATGATAGTTTTCCTTATTGTTTTTACTTGAACGTGAATAACTCTTGAGCCTCCATTCTCATAGATGCTAGAAAGACAGTTACATTTGACAAGTAAAGATAATGGTCTTTTTCTCTTTAACATAGTTCCTTCCAGATACATTGATTCAATTAATAAACTTCAAATTCCCTATCAGGGTCTTTCCTCCCACTCATCCTTCCCACAGTGTCACCTGAATGAAAAGAGAAGTTCATGAATTTCTGGGGAGCTGAGAAGCTCTCTCCTTCCTGGTCACTTTGCACCCTGCACAGGGACCTGCTGAAGTGTGTCAGGTCTTGTGTGGCATCCTCCTGGTGCCTTCTGGGGGAATGCTGTCCTCCTGAACTCTGAGATGTCTTTGGGCTGACCCCAGACCTCCTCAGGCCATTGGTACCCTCAGCACTTTGATTTGAGAGTCTGTTGAGGGAAGCAGGGTAGTTAAACAAGCAGTGAGTACACAGCCTAAGAAATGCTATAATGCAGGAAGTACTCAGTGTCAAGAAGCACCATTTGTATGAAAATAAAAACTTTATTTCCAACTTTCAAACTTGCAAACCTAGTTCGCAGCCTAGAGCCTTTCTCCTTGCTGTTTTTTCTACCTGGAATGCCTCCCCGTGAGATGCTTCCTTAGTGAGTTCATTCATATCATCCCCGTCTTGGGCTTTCCCTGACCTCCCCAGGTCATGCAGTTACCACCTCCCCATCAGTCCCATTCACTGTCGTATTTCCAACTTTTATTTTCTTGATAGCATTTATATGTTATTATCAGAAATTATTTTGTTTACTTAGATGGTTGCAGTGTGCCTCTCTCCGGTGGAACATGAACTGCCTGAAGGCAGAAACCTTGTCTTGTTTGCCACTGGACCCTAGAGCTTAGAATTGTGTCTGGCACAGTGTTAGCTAAAAAAAATCTGTTGAATGAAGAACTATATTTGAAACTGAATCTGCCCCTCAAATAACTTATCCTCCTACTCCTTCTGATTCCAGATGATTTTTTTTCTCTAATTCCATTTTCAACCCCTGAAATAAAAAAGTTGAAATCATCTTTATGTCCTCCTTCTCTTTGTACCCCATATCTGATGAAACCCTCAAACCCCATCCTGTTGATTTTTCTTTACTGTGCTTTTCATCTTCCTTCTTCCCTTCCCTAGTCCGGGGCCTCATCATTAATTTATTTTTCCATCTTTGGTCTTTCTTTTCCTAACAATCTGATGAGTGATGCCAGACTGATGTTTCTAAACACTTGTGTTCAAAATTTTTTTTTTCTTTTTTTGAGATGGAGTTTCGCTCTTGTTGCCCAGGCTGGAGTGCAATGGCATGATCTCCGCTCACCACAACCTCTGCCTCCCAGGTTCAAGCAATTTTCCTGCCTCAGCCTCCCTAGTATCTGGGATTACAGGCATGTGCCACCACTCCCGGCTAATTTTGTATTTTTAGTAGAGGTGGGGTTTCTCCACGTTGGTCAGGCTGGTCTCCAACTCCTGACCTCAGGTGATCATCCACCCACCTTGGCCTCCCAGAGTGCTGGGATTACAGGCATCAGCCCCTGTGCCCGGTCTTGTTTTCAAATTTTATGCCCAAATAGCATCCAGTCCTTTTAGGAATTGGAAGCATGTGCAAAAATATCACTCGCTACAGCTGATGTAAAGATGCAGCATCAGGATTTGAATGTGATTAGCTATTAGGGTCACAAATCAACTGTGAGGCATTATGCACATATTTTGTGGTTGTAACAAGTATCCTTGAATTTCTTCCAGAAACCACCAATTTAAACTGGAACTAGTAGATGATGTGTCCCTGGTTACCTGGTGGTATTTAATTCTGATACAATGATTGCATGAGATCATATTAAATCTTTACAGAAGAAATTTTGAGGGTGAAACCTGGTTTCATTGTCTGTTGTACTGGAGACTCATTATATCGACTCTTTTTTTTTATACTTTAAGTTTTAGGGTACATGTGCACAACGTGCAGGTTAGTTACATATGTGTACATATGCCATGTTGGTGTGCTGCACCCAGTAACTCATCATTTAACATTAGGTATATCGCCAAATTCTATCCCTCCCCCTCCCCCCACCCCACAACAGGCCCCAGTGTGTGATGTTCTCCTTCCTGTGTCCATGTGTTCTCATTGTTCAGTTCCCACCTATGAGTGAGAACATGCGGTGTTTGGTTTTTTGTCCTTGCGATAGTTTGCTGAGAATGATGGTTTCCAGCTTCATCCATGTGCCTGCAAAGGACATGAACTCATCATTTTTTATGGCTGCATAGTATTCCATGGTGTATATCTGCCACATTTCCTTAATCCAGTCTATCATTGTTGGACACTTGGGTTGGTTCCAAGTCTTTGCTATTGTGAATAGTGCCGCTATAAACATACGTGTGCATGTGCCTTTATAGCAACATGATTTATAATCCTTTGGGTATATACCCAGTAATGGGATGGCTGGGTCAAATGCTATTTCTAGTTCTAGATCCCTGAGGAATCGCCACACTGACTTAAATTGCCAGTTTCAGTGAGTGAGACGGAAGTTTGATTTTCTAACTTAGGGAATGGTAAAAACGCCCAGCATCACTGGCTTGCTTTAAGTGTCCTTTTGACCACACAGTTTCCTTTTTGCTATGTATTTGCTCTCCAAACAACCTGTAATTTGGTCTTACTGCCCCTCACCCACTGTGAAGATCTGTCACGTGCACACAGATGCTACTGAGTTTTGATCTTGGCATATTTACTTTTACTTTCTTTCCTTTTCTTCTTCTTTTTCTTTTTTCTTTTCTTTTTCTTTTTTTTGAGACAGAGTCTCACTGTGTCGCCCAGGCTGGAGTGCAGTGGTGCGATCTCAGCTCACTGCAAGCTCCGCCTCCCGGGTTCACGCCATTCTCCTGCCTCAGCCTCCCAAGTAGCTGGGACTACAGGTGCCCGCCACTACACCCGGCTGATTTTTTGTATTTTTAGTAGAGATGGGGTTTCACCGTGGTCTCGATCTCCTGACCTCGTGATCCGCCAGCCTTGGCCTCCCAAAAGTGCTGGGATTACAGACGTGAGCCACGGCGCCCGGCCTTTTTCTTTCTTTTCTTACTTTTCTTTTCCTCCCTCCCTCCATCCCTCCATTCCTTTTTTCCCTCCCTCCCTCCCTCCATTTCCTCCCTCCCTCCCTTCTTTCTTCCTCTCTTTTCTTTCTCTTTCTCTCTTCTCTCTTCCTTCTCTTCTCCTTTTCCTTTCTTCTTTCTTCTTATTTCTTTTCTTTTCGTTCCCTTTCCCTTTCCCTTCCCTTTCCCTTTCTTTTCTTCAGAGTGTTGCTGTCGCCCAGACTGTGTCACGATCTTAGTTCACTGCAGCCTCCGCCTCCCAGGTTCAAGCGATTCTCCTACCTCAGCCTCCTGAGTAGCTGGGACTACAGGTGCACACCACCACACCTGGCTAATTTTTGTATTTTTGGTAGAGATGGCGTTTCACCATGTTGGCCAGGCTGGTCTCAAACTCCTGGCCTCAAGAGATCTGCCTGCCTTGGCCCCCCAAAGTGCTGGAATTACAGGTGTGAGACAACATGCCCAGCCCAGATTTTGGCATATTTTCTAAGAAAAATCAAGAAATTGATATTATCTTTTACAAATCTGGCTTTTGCAAAGTTGTCTCTGTGAAAGGATCTCCTGAATTAGTTCACAGTCAGGTAAAGAGATAAGTTTGAGATTTTGGATACTGAATCTGTCTTTGGTGCAGACGCTCCCCGAGACAGCCTGTGTGTGACTTTGGCGGCTCCTAATGACCTGTACTCCCTGGTGCTCATGTCCTGGCATCGTCACCTCCCTCACTGACTCTGAGCTTGGCCATGCGTCTAACCTTGGTCAACGGAACATCAGCCAACGTCTAACCTCGGCCAACGGAACATCAGCCATGCGTCCAACCTTGGCCAACGGAACAAGTGAAGGTACGCTTGGCTGTTATATTTTGGGACTTGTCCTCTTGGATCGCTCCCTTCTAGAATCCAGCTTCTGTGCTGTGGGGAAGTCCATGTGAAGAAGAATTGAGAACCCTGGATGCAACCCCAGCTGAACTCCCAGTCAGCAGCCAGGGCCAGCTGTCAGCTGTGCAAACAAGGCCATCTGGAACTTTCTACCATCAAAGGGACCCAGCCTTGACAAAGACTTCTCCATTCTCAAAATATCATTGATGTTTATACCATAATTTCAATTATAGTATAACCAATAATGATAACAGGCATAATAGCAAATCTGAATACAGCATTTGCTATACCTCAAGCACACAGATAACTTGTTGATTGTGTGATTGAAACTCTGGTGGTAAAAATATTAAGTTGAATTTTTTTTTCTTGATCACTGACTTAAACCATACTTTATCAAATTTCCTTTACCCATCTTTTGACCAGTTCTTCACAGGAGTAATTCATTCAACACGTTCTTATTGAATTCTCACTGTGTGTTAAACACGGTTTATACAGTAGTGAACAAAACAAGCAAATATCCTTGCTTTCACTAAGTCTACATCCTGGTGGAAAATACAGATAATAAAGAGTGGATGAGTTAGCTTGGAATTAGTTATATACTGGAAATATTCTTTGTGGTGTTTTTGTTGTTGTTGTTGTTTGTTTTTTGAGATGGAGTCTCCCTCTGTCACCCAGGCTGGAGTGCAGTGGTGCGATCTCTGCTCACTGCAAACCCTGCCTCCCAGGTTCAAGCGATTCTCCTGCCTCAGGCTCCCAAGCAGTTGGGATTACAGGCACCCGCCATCATGCCTGGCTAATTTATACATATATACACATACACATACATATATATATGTATGTGTATGTATATATATATACACACATACATATATATATACACATACATACATATATATATATATAAATTTTTTTTTCAGTAGAGTCAGGTTTCACTATGTTGGCCAGGCTGGTCTCGAACTCCTGACCTCAAGTATTCCACCCACCTTGGCATCCCAAAGTGCTGGGGTTACAGGCATGAGTCACTGCACCTGGCCGGAAATATTCTTTGACTTAGAGAATGGTGAAAATACCCAGCATTATAGCTTGCTGTAAATGTCCTTTTGACAATGCAGAGCTTCCTTTCTTCTGATGCTTTCCCCATCAAACAATCGGTAATTTAGTTTCTTATTGAGCCTAACCCACCATGAGGACCGGCCACATGCACATAGATGGTGCAACCTAAATAAAGCAACGAGTTTACACTACGTGGCCTTTGTAGGCTAGCTGCAGCTCTCATCGTATCACCTTCAAGGTCGCGAAGAAAGCCCTCCTTGGGATGTGCTGGTCTGATGGCAGAGGGAAAACAGAGGTGATAAAGCCATAGGATGGCTTTGTAGCTTCCGCTTAGAGGGCAGCATGCATCATTTCCTTTTGCATTTCATTGGCCAAAGCAGGTCATATGAACACTCCTGATTGGACTGGGAAACAGTTAAAAGCATGAATGTATATTCCACCACAGTTAGCAAAACATGCCAGATGTAGATAAGGGTTAAGTAGAGGAAAAAAAAGAAAAGAAAAGAAGAAGGAAATGGAGACCTGGAGAGAAGAAGTTCAAGTTTAAATCGCATGGCCAGGGTGGACTTCTTTGGAAGGAGACATTTAAGCAATCTAAAGGAGGTAAAGGGAGGAACCTTGGAATATCTGAATGGAGAGTTTCAATAGACGGGTGTGGTGGTGGGCGCTTGTAATCCCAGCTACTCGGGAGGCAGAGCCATGAGAATCACTTGAACCCAGGAGACAGAGTTTGCAGTAAGCCAATATCTCACCACTGCCCACTAGCCTGGGTGACAGAACAAGACTCTGTCTCAAAAAAAAAAAAAAAAAGAAAAAAACCTGAAAAGTCTCAAGAAGAGGGAATGTAAGTGCAAAGGCCCTGAGGCAGCATGTGTGGTGAATTGAAGAACAGCAGAGAGGCCAGTTGTAGCTGGAACATATGAATATCTTTGTGGGGTAGTTACTGGAAATGGAATCAGAGAAGAAATGAGGGTGGGTGAAGATCATGTATCAGACAAGCACAGGAGGGTTTTGAACAGGGGAGTGACACAATCTGACTTGCGTGTAATATGATAATTCTGTCTGCTGTGTTATAAATAGACATAGCAGGGCAAGGTGGGAAGCCAGAATGTAAGTGGGGGAGGCTTTGTATAGTCATTCGGGTGATAGCTAAGGTGGCTGTAGCAGAATGGAAGCAGTGTGATGGTGAGAAGCAGATGGATTGTGGATATCCTTTGAAGGTAGAACTGAGAGCCTCTTTTGGTGGTTTGTGGGATGGAGAGAGAGATTAAAGAGGATGCTAAGGTTTCCTAACTTTCCACTCATTTAACAGTTATTAAAATCAATTTAATCTAAAGCATCAGTTTCAAATTCAGTGTCAACCTCAGCTTCCCCCATATCCCATCCTGCCTGGGTTAGTACCGGCCTGAATGGGGAATTTGGTTGCTTGGATTGAGGGTGAGGGAAGTGCTTGGGGGCGGGTCCAGGAAACCACCTCTCACACTCATCGTTGATCTTCCAAGGTGCCGGGACAAGGAGGGAGGAGAGGGAAGGCGATGCACCCTTCTTTCTGGGACCAGAAAGTCTTGTAGTCCTCTCTTGTGGGGTGGCCTCTTCTTTTCTGGCTAACACTGAGCCACCATTGGTGTTGTTTGTTCAGTGGGTTCCCAACCAAAATGCTGCTCTCTCAAGTGGGTACTCGGGCAGGTTCTCTTTTTTTTTTTTTTTTTTTTTTTTTTGAGACGAAGTCTCGCTCTTTTGCCCAGGCCGAACTGCAGTGGCGCTATCCCGGCTCACTGCAAGCTCCGCCTCCCGAGTTCACGCCATTTTCCTGCCTCAGCCTCCCAAGTAGCTGGGACTACAGGCGCCCGACACCGCGCTCGGCTAATTTTTTGTATTTTTAGTAGAGATGAGGTTTCACCGTGTTAGCCAGGATGGTCTCGATCTTCTGACCTCGTGATCTGCCTGCCTCGGCCTCCCAAAGTGCTGGGATTACAGGCGTGAGCCACCGCGCCCGGCCCCGGGCAGGTTCTTTAGGACGTGCTGAGGGGCCTCCCTTCTGCACAGGTTTTCGGTAGGTGAAATCCTAGATTCCTGGTTGGCTGCTGTCCCAGCTGGACCACCTGGAGATGAGTCAAGCATGGCTCCCTTCCCTGGGGCCCTAGAAAGTAGAAATGCAGGCTGCCCTACTGCCCTGCCATGCCTTCTCCAGTTCTCTTCCTTCCTGTTCAGCAGGGCATACCCCCTTATCTGCCGTCTAAGAAGGTCTCTTATTCTTGCAAACACCCACTGTCTCAAAAAGTGTTTCTTCTGATACATCCCTCACTTAGTTTCAGGGAAGGGAGGCAACCCACTGGCTCCCAAACCCAGGATGCGGAAGGAGGGTGTGGTCTGTCACCACGAATATTACACTTGGACAAAGGTGACAACCCAAGAAAGGCCCTCTCTCCTCCCGCTCTTCCCTGTCCCATTTTCTTACACAAAGAAAGCGGGGTAGGACCCTGGGTCGTGAACTAAGTAGAGCTGAACCAGAAAAACCAATTAGGAATTTTTTTTTTTTTGAGACAATCTAGCTCTGTCACCCAGGCTGGAGTGCAGTGGCACGATCTTGGCTCACTGCAATCTCCACGTCCCAGGTTCAAGTGAATCGATCTTGGCTCACTGCAATCTCCACCTCCCAGGTTCAAGTGATTCTCCTGCCTCAGCCTCCTGAGTGGCTGGGATTACAGGCATGCACCACCATGCCCAGCTAATTTTTATAGTTTTAGTAGAGATGGGGTTTCACTATGTTGCCCAGGTTGGTCTCAAACTCCTGACCTCAAGCCATCTGCCCACCTTGGCCTCCAAAAGTGCTGGGATTCCAGGTGTAAGCCACTGCACCCTGTCCCAATTAGAATATTGCACATACAGGTGGCAGGGAACTCACTGCAGAAGGAAAAGTATAATCTCCTCTGTGCTTTGCCATGAAGACCATGGACTCTCTACTCATTGGTCTCTCCTTGCACTGCGCTCAATGACAAGTAGGTCCAGTGTGCTACTTACTAGTATGGAACCTGGGGCCTTTACTTCTGGGTTTCACTGTCTCATCTGTGTGGTGAGGATGCAGCATGAGCTCTACCAGGCACTCTCAGCCTCCCTTTCTAGACAGCCCCCTCCTCCCTGCTGTTTGGAAATTCCCCCATCTCCAATTCCACCTCTTTGGGGCTGTCTGGTTTTGGCTCCTAACTACACTTGATCTTGCCTGTCCTGGTTATGATACTGTTTCTTCTTAAAAATATTCAACTAGGTGTTTGCATTTGGCCTTCTCCCTCTTCCTTTCCTGCCAATCCTCACCTCCTTTCCCCCGTGTCCTCCCGAGACATCTGGGTACCAGCTGGGCTCATGCTCACCTCCAGTCCTCCATGGAAGTCATT